>NC_000006.12:158707153-158858668 GCF_000001405.40 Homo sapiens | reverse complement strand
GCTTCTCAGGAAATCTTCCTCTGGCTATGCACAAATCGGACAGCACCACCGCAGCTTGAGAGGCGAGAAGACCAATCATGTCCTCCGTGCTGGTGTCCTTTCATCTATGAGAATCAAAATGCTTCTAGGACTTTTCTCTCAAGATAAATCTAAGGCCTGAGTTGGGCTGTCCCTTTAGGCACTCTCTTGGTGTCAGCAGAATGATTGGACCCAGTTTTGAAGGAGAACGTGTTCAGTGGAATGCCAGAGTTCTTTTTTTGTTTGTTTGTTTTGTTTTGAGACAGAGTCTCGCTCTGTCGCCCAGGCTGGAGTGCAGTGGCGCAATCTTGGCTCACTGCAACCTCTGCCTCCCTGTTCTTTCCTTGAGACTTTCATCACTTCAATCTCAGTGGTCTATTCCCCGACCATCGTCCCTAGTGGCCTGGAGACAGCAGAGGCGGGGTCCACATCTTGCTCATCCCTGTAGACCTAATTCCTAGCACTGTGCCTTGCATGTGAAGCCAGGTTGCTTGCTAAATGCATCCATGAATGTAGCTGTTAAAATGCATGTATGGGCCAGGCGCAGTGGCCCACACCTGTAATTCTAGCACTTTGGGAGGACAAGGCGGGTGGATCACCTGAGGTCAGGAGTTCGAGACCAGCCTGGCCACCATGGCAAAACCCTGTCTCTACTAAAAATACAAAAAAAAAAAAAAAAATAGCCGGGCATGGTGGCGGATTCCTGTAGTCCCAGCTACTCAAGAGGCTGAGGCAGGAAAATCACATGAATCCAGAGGGTGGAGGTTGCAGTGAGCTGAGATCCTGCCACTTCACTACAGCCTGGGCAAACAAATGAGACTCCGTCTCAAAAAAAAAAAAAAAAAAAAAAGCATGTATGACTCAAGGAGAGGGTAGAGGGCTCTGGGAGGTCTTCTCCCCACAGTACATGAGACTGAGATGGCTTGTCGTCTTGGATGACACCTGCCTGGCCCTTGAGGGACTGAGATCTGGGATGAGGAAGTACATGGTGAGGGAGGCAGGGGCTTCTGCCCACAGCACACTTTGGTCAGCCGGAGGCCACTGTAGGAGCCTCCAGGGAGTTCTCTTTGAGGTGGGCTCCCCAGAAGGGTGGGGCAGCGTGGGGCACTGGATCAAGGACAGCAGGCCACAGTTGAGGGGCTCTCCAGCCATGCTGAGAGAAGGGGAGGGGACCTGCGGCATCGTGAGGAAGGGTGGCCTTGTGTTTTTTTTGTTTTGTTTTGTTTTGTTTTGTTTTGTTTTGTTTTGTTTTGTGACAAGGTCTTGCTCTGTCTCCCAGGCTGGAATGCAGTAGCGTGATCTCTACTCACTGCAGCCTCAATCTCCTGGTCTCAAGCCATTCTCCCACCTCTGTCCTTCAGGTAGCTGAGACTACAGGCGTGCACCATCACACCCAGGTAATTTTTATTTTTTGTAGAGACAGGTTCTCACTATGTTGCCCAGGCTGGTTTTGAACTCCTGGGCTCAAGCAATCCTCCAGCCTTGGCCTCCCAAAGTGCTGGGATTCCAGGTGGGAGCCTCCGCATCCAGTGCAGCCTTGTGTTTCTTCACCTCCTAACTGGGAAGCTTCTCTGCACGCTGGCTAAGTACTGAAAAGAACAGATAGAGAAAGAAAGCAGCATTTATAAAATAATAATGGCCACATAAAAAATTCATGGTTTCAGGCCAGGAGCAGAGGCTTACATCTGTAATCCGAACACTTTGGGAGGCCAAGACAGGAGGATCACCTGAGGCCAGGAGTTCGAGACCAGCCTGGCCAACATGGTGAAATCTCATCTCTATTAAAAATACAAGAATTAGCCAGACATGGTGGTGGATACCTGTAATCCCAACTACTCAGGAGGCTGAGGCAAGAGAATCGCTTGAACCCGGGAGGTGGATGTTGCAGTGAGCTGAAATCGTGCCACTGCACTCCAGCTTGGGCGACAGAGCAAGACTCCATCTCAAAAAAAAAAAAAAAACATGGTTTCATGTACAAATCAATGCAAAAAACCCACAAAGCATTGCATTGGCCTGAAGATTGTTTGCTCTGCCCTGTTAAAGGGAAGAGGAAGAGAGAAAAAGGGATTAAAAAGTGCCAGCAACTTTGGAAAATAAATCACTGCTGTTTAGATTCTTGCCCTGTAATCAACATTCCCAGTTGCTCTTCCAGAGGTCTGGCCCAGCCGGTGCTCGGCGCTGCCTGACACCTCCTACCTTCTGGCTAGTTTATCTTGCAAAGGGAATATTTGGAAAATATGACACCCTCTTCTGCAAGGGCTCAGCAATTCTATTCAGCACAGCTCTTGGCTCTCATGGAGGGCTGGGGCAGGACACAGGCATTAGAACACCTAACACTAAGAAGTACCTATACTGAATCTGGCTATATCTCGGGTAAGACCATGTCCTGATGTCCTTTGGCTAAAACAGAGAGCCTGAAGGACTGTGACATTTCAGTGTAAAAATGAGACTTGTTTCAAATATTTTAAATAACTTTTTCTACCCAATATATTCGTCTTGAATACTCTGAATCCTCTCCCCTGTGTATGCCCAGCGCAGTCACCTTCTTCTAGGCCCCAGGGAATGAGGCCTTGCTGCCGTCTTGTCAAGGCAGGTCCAATTCTCCTGTCCCTCTCAGTGTCACCACTGCCCCGCCCCTTCAGGGCCATGAAGAGGGAGAAGAGAGCCCCTCCAGCCACCAGGGGCCTTCTGTTCTGAAGTATGTTGGCCCAGGGCTCAGAAGTAAACAGGAAGGCCGGGCATGGTGGTTCAGGCCTGTAATCCCAGCACTCTGGGAGGCCGAGGCGGGTGGATCACCTGAGATCAGGAGTTCAAGAGCAGCCTGGCCAACATGGTGAAACCCCGTCTCTACTAAAAATAAAAAAAATTAGCTGGGCGTGGTGGCACATGCCTGTAATACCAGCTGTTCGGGAGGTTGAGGCAGGAGAATTGCTTTAGCCCAGAAGGCAGAGGTTGCAGTGAGCTGAGATCGTGCCACTGCACTCCAGTCTGGGCAACAGAGTGAGACGCCGTCTCAAAAAAAGAAAAAAAAGAAGTCAACAGGAGGGCCGGGCGCGGTGGTGCAGGCCTGTAATCCCAGCACTTTGGGAGGCTGAAGCAGGTGGATCACCTGAGGTCAGGAGTTCCAGACCTGCCTAACGTGGTGAAACCCCGTCTCTACTAAATACAAAAAATTAGCCAGGCATGGTGGCGCATACCTGTAATCCCAGCTACTTGGGAGGCTGAGACAGGAGAATTGCTTGAACCTGGGAGGCAGAGGTTGCAGTGAGCCAAGATCGTGCCACTGCACTCCAGCTTGGGCAAGAAGAGCAAAACTCCATCTCAAAAAAAAAAAAATTGCTTCAGCTAATAATAATAACAATAATAATATGAACAAATATTCTACCACTTATGCTGCCCCAGGCCCTAAGCACTTTATATGTCATCTCATTTAATCTTCACACTACTCCTGTAGGATTGGTATAACTATGCCCATCTTTCAGAGAAGACTAAATGTCAGTGAACCTCCCAGTGAGGCAGAATCCAGTTTTCAAGCTCTTAACTTTCCAACTCCTCCAACGGTCCCTGGCCTTGAATGGGGGACAGTGGCCATACATGATGGGAGTTTGTCAGGTCACTTGTTGCCCCACAAGGTTGATCTGGGGTACCTTTATTCTCCTCCCCACACAATCTTACCACCAGGACCCATCTCAGTGCCCTCACCCCAGGAAGCCTCCTCCCTCCAACTGTACCAGAATCCACCCACCACCCCCTACCACCAAGTCCTCTCTGGTACTCTCAGTATTCAAAGTGTGGCCTACAGAGCAGCAGCCTGGGCACTGCATGGGGGGAACGCAGACTCTCCGCCCCTCCCCCAAATGCACATTTTTAACAAGACCCCAGGTGGCCCCAGTATACCTAGGGGCTCTGTAGTTTGTTTCTTCCTGTTGTGAAAGGAAAAGAAAAACTCTCAGGACCCCAGTTTTTTCTTGGCAACAGGAAAAAATTAAACTAGAAGCTGAGTCATGCAAGAAGCTGCCTTTCTGTTTGTGCCTAAGCAGATAGCTACAGATAAAAGGCTAGATATCCCCACCACAGGCAGCTAAACTCTATGCTCATCTTATGTAAAGCACCAATTTACAGACTGCTAGAGGAAACGTAACTGATTGTTCCTCTTCCTGCTCCTTTTCCCTTGCAACAAGTAGATTCCCATGCCCTTCCTCTTTCCTCTCCAGCCCACTTTTCCCTTTTAAACATCGAGGCCCTCAACATCATCTTGGAAGAACGACACAGACCATAGACTGTTTCTGTGATTCCGTGTTTCTTCCTCCCTGGCCTGTCCTTAACCTTGGCAAAATAAACTTCTCAGTTGATTGAGACCTGTCTCAGATACTTTTTGGTTTACACTGTACAACTGAGCCCTTGATGATCATTGGTTTCCCACAGTCCTTGAATTGTTTGTTAGGCACCCCCTTTGTCTTTCTGGAGAGATTCTAAGTGGAGCGTTCGTTTGCCCAAATCCCCCAAGACTGTCTGAACTGCCTACTGATTCGAGTATAGAGTAGAGCTGGTGATTTGGAGTCCTTGCCCCCAGCATGATTCATCAGAAGCCCAGTTGAATGGTAGCCGAACTGTCACTATTATCCCAATGGCTCCATGGCCTCTCAGACCCCAGCTTCCCTGGCCTTTAATTGCATAAAGGAACACTTGTTTAAGAACACTTGTTCAAGGTCTTCAGGGAAGACCTTGCCGGGAGGTTCATTAAAGAAGCGACACTTTGATTTTTTATGCTGAAAGAACCCAGCCCCAACTCCGGAATTCTCCCCTAGGGCTGCCTCTCTGGCCCCACAGCTCAGGTATCCCAAGTGCACCCAATGCTCAGTGCATTCTTAGTGGTACAGCCCCGCCGAGTCAAAGGGGAAGGTACCTCCTGCAGGCTCTGGAATTTCAGAGCCCTGTCCATAAAAGACTCTATAGGATTCCTGCGGTCTCTGCCAGGCTACTGCCAAGTCCCCAGACATTGTACTTCTCCCATGACCTTTTAAGCAGCTCTCTGTCTTCTTAATCACCCATTTAACATGTGCATTGGCCCTCAAAGAAAAACTACATATTTACTCTTTCTCACTTCCTGTGAGAAGGGTGGGGCCCACCACTGCCTGCTCGGCTGCAGTTTCTGTGACTCACTGTGGGAGGGGCCTTTCATCGGGCAGGGAAGGGATTTGCGTTCTTTGGAATGCAGGTGTGGGCTGCGCCTCCAGAAGGGTTTGCTGATAGAGTTGTGGGAAGGCAAACCTGTTAAGTAACAGCACATTGTGGTGTGTGTGCGTGCATGGTACGTGTGCGTGTATGTGTGTGGTATGGGGGAGGGTGCGTAGTGTTCATGTGATGTTGGAGGGGTATGTGTGTGGTACATGGTGTGTGCATAGTGTGTGGTGTGTGTATGGTGTACCGTGTGTGTGCATGGTGTGTGTTTGGAGGTATGTATATGTGTAAAGTATATGTGTGTGGCATATGGTGTGTGAGTGTGTATGTTGTACTGTGTGTGTGTGTATATGGTGTGGTGTTTGTATGTGTGTGGTGGGGTGTATGGGGTGCATGTGGTATATCTGTGTGTGTGGTATGTGTGACATGAAGGTGTATGGGTGTGTGTGTGGTGAAGGGTCAGTGTGGTATGAGGGTGCACGCGTGTGTGCTATGTGGTGTGTGGTTTCGTGTGGTGAGTGAGGCATATGGTGTGTGCCTGCTCCTCCTTCGGCCCCTTGGAAGAAAGGGCCTTCTGTGTTCTGGTAGCCTTTGGCAGGGCCAGAGTGCCAGAACATTCTCTCTGTAATGAGTGTCTGCTAGTCTACTTGGGTGCAGCCCCAGGCTTGCCCTTACAGAGAATGTACCTCCTTGTGATGGTTGTAGTTGGCGTCAGAGTGTTTTGCCCCATTCTCTGAGAAGGCCAGTCCCAAGCTTTCAGGGTGTGGATCTGGAGGTGGCCTCAAGTCAAGCCATGGAGGCCAGCCTCAGCCTCAGCGTGGCCCCAGCTCAAGGACAAGGGAGCCCTGGGGCTGGGCCGGGCATCTGCACTCACTTACGTGTGCAAGGCCCCCAAGCCTTGGTCCATGTCCAGACCAGACCAGCACAAGATCAAGGAGAGTGCAAACGCCAGGACTTCCTTTCCCTTCTCTGTTTGAGAGCAGGTGTTGTAGTAGGGTTAGGAGTGTGAATTCTGGAACTAGTCTTCTGCTTCCAATCTCAGCAGAGACAGAGTCCCGAGGCAAGCTAACCTCTCTGTGCCTCAGTTTCTTCCCCCATAAAGTGGACAATAGTAGCATCCGCTTCATAGTGTAGTTGTGAGGATTAAAAGGATTAGTTCATGTAAGGAGCTAAGAATAGTAGCTGGCATACAGTAAGCTAACCATTATTCTTTGGGAACATGAATCAATGTCCTAGAGTGTGGCAGGGATGGGATAAGGGAGGCATTTTAATTCTCCAAAACCTGAGAGACAAAGTTCATCCAAAAATGTTTCTATATTGTTGAAAATAAAAGACCTCCATGACACTTCTTCCTGTTCTTGGGGGGATACATTTTTTTGTTTGTTTGTTTGTTTGTTTGTTTGAGACGGAGTTTTGCTCTTGTTGCCCAGGCTGGAGTGCAATGGCGCGATCTCAGCTCACCACAACCTCTGCCTCCCGGGTTCAAACAATTCTCCTGCCTCAGCCTCCCGAGTAGCTGGAATTACAGGCATGCGCCACCATGCCCAGCTAATTTTGTATTTTTAGTAGAGACGGGGTTTCTCCATGTTGGTCAGGCTGGTTTCAAACTCCCAACCTCAGGTGATCTGCCTGCCTCGGCCTCCCAAAGTGCTGGGATTACAGGCGTGAGCCACTGAGCCCAGCTTGGGGGGTACATTTTTAGATGGCATGTTAGCAAAGCTCTAATGCTGCTTAAGGAGAAGACATTACCTTAGGGAAAAATAGTAAACCTATGGGCTGGTATTCAGGCCTAAGTATTTTCCATTTTTAGAATTAACTCCATGGTCTCTAAAATATAGAAGAATATTATCAGGCCAGGCGCAGTGGCTCACGCCTGTAATCCCAGCACTTGGGGAGGCCGAGGCAGGTGAATCACTTGAGGTCAGGAGTTTTACATCAGCCTGGCCAACATGGTGAAACCTCATCTTCTACTAAAAATACAAAAATTAGCAGGGCATGGTGGCAGATGCCTGTAATACCAGCTACTCAGGAGGCTGAGGCAGGAGAATCGCTTGAACCGGAGAGGCAGGGGAGGCAGAGGTTGCTGTAAGCTGAGATCGTACTACTACCCTCCAGCCTGGGAGACTGAGCGAGACTCCATCTCAAAAACAAAATAATAAATAAATAAATAAATAAATAAATCCACGTCACTGGAAAATGCAACAGTATATCAATGATTTGTGCATCCATTCATTCACTTATTCAACAACCGTTCATTTATTGATATAAACTATATGCCAAGTTTTATGTTAGATTGGTATTAAGGCTATAAGGATGCAAGAGATATATGGCCCTGTCTTAATGTGACCATAAGCAGTCTACAACATTTTACATTATAATAGGATCAATAAAAGAAGAAATATAGAAGATACCATAACATATTTACATCAGGATTTGTTAACTAGTTTGGAATTATAAAAGCAAATCTTCTAACATCCCCAAACACAAACATGCTATGCTATCTGTTGAGAAATTCAGAAGCACATTCATAACAGCTGGGGGTAATTTAGAGGTTTACAGTCAGACAAGCCAAACAACAGAAATCATTTGAGAAAAGGAAAAAACCACATCTCCTCAGGCAAATGATTTCTAGAGGTGGCAATGTAAAACAAAAGAATTCAAAAATAGAATAGCATTCCCTTTCATAAGCACTGTTTACTATAATACCACATATTCACGTAAACTCAATGGGTACCTCTTGTACCAAGAAAATCTAATGCTTTCATTAAACAAAAAGAGCACTCTAGTTCTTTAAAGGAAAGGAATTGTTGTCACATAAAACCTATTGCCTAGCAACAAAACAGCAACTCATCACACCTTTCCTCCAGCCATAGACACAGCCTCACCCTCTTGCCTGCTCATTCCTCTTGACTCCAGAGTTCTTTTAATAGTATCTGTGGTTGGAATAACTGAATTTTAAGTTTTAAACACCAGTCAATATAAAGTCCTGCCAATTGCTAAGCATTTAATCCTATAGTCACAGCCTCTGAAATGGCCACATTATAAAACAAGAAAACCAAGGGGCTGGGTTTCCTTTTCTCTTCTTTTTCCTATCCTGAAAACCTCACAGGCAGTGTCCCGAGACACTGTCTCCACCAGGAGCACCGGATGGTCCTTCTCTGGCTTTCATGCTTAGTGTGAAGATGGACTCATGCAACACAGCACTTCTTTTCAGTCTAAACCCATTGTAAAAACCCACGTCTGTTTCAATGCCAGATTCGTTTCATTGCCTATTGCTAAGCCCACATGAGCAACTCATCTCACTTTCAAATGTTATGTCTAACAGAACCATTGGCCACGATGTTTGGAAGTGAGTTGCTAACCAACATTCTATAGAACAGTGTATTCAGTGATATGACTCACAGATAAATTACTTCACCCTCGTGGACCTCAAACTGGGTGTGCCACTTGCTGTAGATCGACTCAGTGCTTAACCCTTCCAAGTACGAGGAAATTCTCACCAGTCTACTTTCTCCACAAAGTCTCAAACATTTCTGAGTGGTGGCAAGGGTGTCTATAGAAGGCAGAAACAGGGAAAACGACAGGACATAGGGGACTACTGCCTCTTAGAGTATGATTTGCTGTTCTTCAAAACTGTGTGTTTCAACTATCAACAGGGGCAGTGATTCTAGGGAAATGCAAATTTCACCAGTTCCACAATTAGACATAAAAACAGGAATAACTCTTTCATCTCTAGTGATATGGGCAGATTTACATCCAAGAGTTCAATATTTCATGAGGTTAAACACATCATCCAGTCCCGTTTGTCACCCTTTTGGAAACGGGCTTTTAAAGTGTGTTTTTCTTTGACAACATTCCAAGGTCTCAAACCCCTAATGCCAGCTAAAAGCCTGAACAGGAGGGAGAGGTCTGTATACTCTACTCTGCGTATGTTCTGCCTAAATGTTTGTACATGTTCTCCTGCACAAATGAACAGGGACCTCACTGTGATGTTAGTGTGAATATTCAGTGGCAGTCATCAAGGACAGATTCCACATTCCCCCATTTCTTTGTGATTTGATGATCTGTCATTTTCTTCCAATCTTCAATCTTCTTTTCCTCTACTTAAGATCAGTTTGTTGTTGTTGTTGTTTGTTTTTGTTTTTGAGATGGAGTCTTGCTCTGTTGCCCAGGCTGGAGTGCAGTGGCGCGATCTCGGCTCACTGCAAGCTCCGCCTCCTAGGTTCATGCCATTCTCCTGCCTCAGCCTCCCGAGTAGCTGGGACTACAGGCGCCCGCCACCACGCCCAGCTAATTTTTTTTTTGTATGTTTAGTAGAGACGGGCTTTCACCGTGTTAGCCAGGATGGTCTCGATCTCCTGACCTCATGATCTGCCTGCCTCGGCCTCCCAAAGTGCTAGGATTACAGGTGTGAGCCACCGTGCCTGGCCAGCATGGCATAGTCTTAATACTGTTAATAGAGGGGTTATGATTTCTGCAAGAATTAAGAAGAAACTAGAGTCATAAGCCAATCCAAGAAACTAGGAAAGTTGCTTTAAGGGATACCTTCACTTCTTCATAATCTAAGCCCCCAGATGTGTTGGCTGTGCCCCAGACCCCACCATGAAGTGAGGCTCTGCCTCCTGGAACATGTTCTCAGGCCAGCACAGAGGTGCTCGGGGTGGAAGGGCATTGCCTTGGAGACACCTTGACTCCTTATTCTTCCTTCTGGATGACCTCAGGCAAGTTTCTTCATGTCTCTTACTCTCAGGTTTCTTTTCTATAAAAATTAAGTTCATAATAGTCCCTATCTCTATTTGTACAGGTTAAGTAAATAACACTGATAACATTCTTAGTACCATGTCTGACATGTGGTAAGTGCTCAGGAAACACTGGTCGTGATTAATAAGAAGTGAAATGGCCGAGCGCGGTGGCTCACACCTGTAATCACAGCACTTTGGGAGGCCAAGGCGGGCAGATCACGAGGTCAGGAGTTCAAGACCAGCCTAGCCAAGATGGTGAAATCCCATCTCTACTAAAAACTACAAAAATTAGCTGGGCGTGGTGGCTGGCGCCTGTAATCCCAACTACTCGGGAGGCTGAGGCAGGAGAATTGCTTGGACCTGGGCGGCAGAGGTTGCAGTGAGCTGAGATTGCTCCCCTGCACTCCAGCCTGGGCGACAGAGTGAGACTCCATCTCAAAAAATAATAATACTAATTTTAAAAAAAGAAGTGAACCATGGTTTGGAATTATTGAGTGAAACCTGGGCTTTGAGAGTAGGAGTGCTAGCCAGGTTGGATTGTGTGTTAGTTTACTCAGGCTGCCATAACACAATTCCACAGACTGGGTGGCTGAAACAACAGAAATCTATGTTCTCATCATCCTGTCAAATAGAAGTCTGAGATTAAAGTGTCGGCAAGGTTGGTTTCTTTTGAGGTCTCTCACCTCGGCTTGCAGATGACCGTCTTCTGCCTGTGTCTTCACATGCCTGCACCTGTCTGTCCAGATTTCCTCTTGTAAACACATGAGCCATATTGGATTACAGCACAACTAATGACCTAATTTTAATTTAATTACCTGTTTAAAGACTCTATTTCCACATACAGTCACATTCCTAGGTACTGGGGAAGTTAGGATTTCAACAGAGGATTTTTTTTTTTTTCGGTGGGAAACACAATTCAACCTCTAACAGTTTGGAAAATCTATCTACTTTACTTGGGCCTTTTCAAGAAAATGAGATGGGGCCAGGCGCAGTGGCTCACGCCTGTAATCCCAGCATTTTGGGAGGCTGAGGCCGGCGGATCACCTGAGGTCAGGAGTTCAAGACCAGCCTGGCCAACATGGCGAAACCCTGTCTCTACTAAAAATACAAAATTAGCCAGGTGTGGTGGTGCATGCCTGTAATCCCAGCTACTCAGGAGGCTGAGGCAGGAGAACTGCTTGAACCTGAGAAGCAGAGGTTGCAGTGAGCCGAGATCGTACCATTGCACTCCAGCCTGGGCAACAGAGCGAAACTCCATCTGAAAAAAAAAAGGAAAGAAAGAAAATGAGATGGGCTTTGAAGAGACCAGGTAAAGGCATGCTCTCTGCCCTGCCCTACCCACCACCAACTCTGCTCATGCCTGGCCCACGACGGGGCCCACTGGCTACTAGCACAGGCTGCCACATTAAAGGGCTTCTTCTAACACTGCCCAGCTACCAAAATGCACAGCCCATGGGTGTGTGTGCTAAATTTTATCTCCTCAAATTCCTATGTCGAAACCCTAACACCCGATACTTCAGACTGTGACCTTATTTGGATTGGGATAGGGTCTATACAGAGGCAGTGAAGCTTAAAATGAGGTCAGTAGAGTGGGCTCTAATCCAAAACGGCCGGTGTCATAAAAGGGGAAATTTGGGCCCAGAAGCATACATAGAGGAAGAGGATGAGAAGACAACGAAAAAGCAGCAATTTACCGGGCAGAGAGGCCTGGGACAGATCCTTCCCTCAGACCGCAAGAGGAGCCAGCCCTGTCCACACCTCGATCCCAGACTTCTTCTTTTTAAAAAACAGAGACAGGGTCTTGCTGTGTTTTCCCAGCTGGTCTCAAACTCCTGGCCTCAAGTGATCCTCCCTCCTTGGCCTCCCAAAGTGCTGGGATTATAGGTCTGAGCCACTGCACCCAGCAGATCCCAGGCTTCTACCCGCTAGAAGATGAGAAAATACATTTCTATTGTTTCAGCCACCTGGTCTGTGGTACTTTGTCACGGTGGCCCTAGCAAACAAACACACCATGCTTTCTTCATGTATTTGACAACCATTTAATCACTTTATCTGGTATGTTTGGCCTGAAGACACAATCAATAATAATAATATACATGTCCTGCCTTTAAGAAGCTTGTAGGCTTTGTGGCGGAACAATTACATTTAAAAAATCATTTGGGTTCAATGTGGCTGGCATTCCATCTCCTTATAAGTTGGGAAGTACATTTTCAGCTTTTATTTTAATTTTGCAGCAAAACACTGACTTTTGCTAAGAAGGAGCCACTGTTTGCGGGATTGGGGCACGTTAGGCCTCCCTCAAGCCTCCTGTCCAAGTCACCTAACTCCTAATCCAATTCAACTGCCCCCTAATATTTCCTCTGCACAGGATCAGAGCGCCTCGGGCAAGGCAAATCAGATCTTACCATAGCTCAACCCATCCCCTCTCTGGCTTAAAGCACTTCAGTGACTTCCCATTTTCCAAGGATAAGTCAAATTCCGTAACACCTATCTATGCCCTGGCACGGTCTCCAGCCTCTGCCCCACTGGCTTTGCTTCCCACACCAGAAACTTTGGCTTCTCTTGTGCCTGCATCGCTCTTCCCCGCTCTGTTGACCTGGTTCATCTACAACCCTCCAGATCTTAGTTTATTCATCATTTCTTCTAGGGAGCTTCCCTTGAGGACCCGGCTTAAAGCAAATCTCCCTTATAATAACTTTAGCACCAGGTGCAGCAAATACATCTTCTTATCACAGCTGAAATGTTTCGACTATTTGTGTATTGGTTTGATAACTCTAAGCTCCACAATGGCATGTCTATATTCATACACTAAAATATCCTTACACGCCTGTAATCCCAGCACTATGGGAGACCGAGGCGGGCGGACCATGAGGTCAAGAGATTGAGACCATTCTAGCCAACATGGTGAAACCCCGTCTCTACTAAAAGTACATAAATTAGCTGGGCGTGGTGGTGCTCACCTGTAGTCCCAGCTACTCGGGAGGCTGAGGCAGGAGAATTGCTTGAACCCGGGAGGCAGAGGTTGCAGTGATCAGAGATCACGGCACTGCACTCCAGCCTGGCGACAGAGTGAGACTCCGTCTCAAAAAAAAAAAAATTATATATATATATATATATATATATATATATCCTTAGTGCTTAGACACATGGTGAGAACTCGATAAATATTGGTTAAGTGAATCAGTGAGTAAACGAGTGAATGGGTCAATACTGATCCTTAGAATTTCCAACTGGGGAAGCAGTTATAGTATTTGAAAAACAGGGCCAGGTGTACTGGCTCACACCTGTAGTCCCAGACTATGGGAGGCTGAGGCGGGTGGATCACTTGAGCGTTCAAAACCAGCTTGGGCAACATGGAGTAGAGTAAGTAGAGTAAGACCCTGTCTCTACTAAAAATACAAAAAAGTTAGCCAGGCATGATGGTGCATACCTGCAGTCCCAGCT
Organism: Homo sapiens; assembly: GCF_000001405.40. Lineage (NCBI taxonomy): Eukaryota > Metazoa > Chordata > Mammalia > Primates > Hominidae > Homo > Homo sapiens. The sequence goes on along the minus strand of NC_000006.12, from coordinate 158,845,283 downwards.
ACTTGGGGAGGCTAAGGAGGGAGGATCACTTGAGCCCAGAAGGTCGAGGCTGCAGTGAGCTGAGATTGTGCTGCTGCATTCCAACCTGGGCGACAGATGGAGACCCTGTCCAAACAAACAAACAAACAACAACAACAATGAAAAACAAAAACAGAAAAGAAAAACAGTAAAGTATTAGTGAATACAGGAAAGTGAATACACATTTGAGTGCCATTGTGGCAACAAATTTTTTGCAAAGTTATTTGTCATTGAGAAGCTTATTTTATCTGTGAAAATTAAATTTCTCCTATCACACTTTGAATATATTTCTCAAATATTTATTTAGCATTCTATTCACTACAAACTCTCTCATTGCACTTTCAGAGAATTTTTTTTTTTAGAGACAGGGTCTCGCTCTGTCACCCAGGCTGGTGTGCAGTGGTGCAATCATAGCTTACTGCAGCCTTGAATTCCTGGGCTCAAGTAGTCCTCCCTCCTCAGCTTCCCATAGAAAATTTTTAAGTAACTCTAATCTGTTTTTTAAAAACAACTGAACACCAGTTGACTCTTGACAAACTACCAGATTTCATTGCTGGACTAAGAATTTTCTAGACCTTCTGGATATTAATTGAATATGGAATGAGTTTTAAGGAACTGTAGGGTAAAGGTGCATCTGCTTCATAGTTGATCTGTGAAATGTTTAATGGGTTGTACTGGTGTACAGAGGATTATGAGTCCAGAGGCCCAGACCCGCAGGAGTTCATAATCCATCACGGTGCATATAAATGTAAACAACGTTACAGTGCAGCAAGATACGTGCTACCAGCGGAATGTGCAAAATGCTATCACCTTCACACAGCCCACGGAAAATACAAGACTCTTACACCATGACTCCAACTCTCCAGATTTCAATAAGTGTTATGATTTGAAGAGGAAATATACCGAATAGATCAAGACTTAATTGCCTTGATAGTCCACTAACAGAACAATTAATTTCATAGTTGTCCTTCCTTACCTTTTAGAAAAAGGGAGCTAACATGTTTCCTTATGTTGTCAGCTTCTGTAAAAAACAGTTCCTCTCTTCTTATCATGACTTTGTCCTTGTCTCCGTCTTCTGTTCACCTCTGCCTCCCTGCAATGTATAATTATTTTTTAAATTTGTGGTTGGTCTTTTGGCACTGGGCTCCCTAAGGGAGATGAATTAATATTTCCTAAATCCCCTGACTTTTGCGTGAATTCTTGATCTCTGGCTTTTGTAGAAATAGAAAATAAGCCATTTAAGAGTTTGGAGTAAATGGGGAAGTCAGAATCCTAATTTACAGGCTCAATCTTTCACTTAGGTTTGGGGTGTATGTAATGAAGCTCTCTACAAACGATGTGGAAATTGAAATAGGAAATGAAAATGTTACCCATTTAGTGCAAATGCTTTGTTAGCCACAAGCATAATGTATCATTAAGTGCTTCTCTTCTAATGCCACTGGGTATAATTGTGTTGAGTCAAAATGTTTTCAGCTAATATACTTTTTAATCCATAAGCCCCAATTAGGTTTTGAAAATATTTACAGCTATAGCTATTATAAAGTATCTGCATTCGTGATTTCCAGAAAGTAGAGTTTTGTTTTTTGTTTTTTTTTTTTTTTTTTTTTGAGACAGGGTCCCACTCTGTCACCCAGGCTGGAGTGCAGTGGTGTGATTTTGGCTCACTGCAGCCTCCACCTGCCAGGCCCAACTGATCCTCCCACCTCAGCCTCCCGAGTAGTGGAGACTACAGGCACGCACCACCACACCTGGCTAATTTTTGTATTTTTCGTAGAGATGGGATCTCACTGTGTTGCCCAGGATGGTCTTGAACTCCTGGGCTCAAGTGATCCTCTTACCTTGGCCTCCCAAAGTGCTGGGATTACAGGCATGAGCCACCGCACCCAGCCAAAAGTGGAGTTTCTTGCTATGTAATTAGCTAACAAAAGATATTCCTTCTAGCAGTAGAGGCAGTTATGCCTCTGCCTGGTGACCTAGGTGACCTGCAGGTGACAGGAGAGCCTTTCCTCCCTAGGTCTCTGTTTCCTGGACCTCAGCAAGACTCTTTAGCCAATCACATGTAGAGTTACGTGATAAGCCAAATGGCCATTCATTCACTCATCCAATCATTCATTCATTCAACTAATATTTACTGAGTGCCTTCAGTGTACCAGGTAAAGTGGCTGTCCGTGGAGTGTACGTTCTAACAAGCAAAACGACCATAAATGTATGAACAAATTGCTATGTACTCTAATGTTGGGTAGAATTAAGTGTTATGAAGATGTTGGAGCAGAAGAAAGGGTTGGAGTTGATGAGAGCACTGTTTCAAATGGGGTGAACAAGGAAGGCTTTCTGAGGAAGCCGCATTTAACAGATCCCTGAAGGAATTGAGGGAGAGCCATTAAATACCCCGGGGGAAGCGTGTCCCAACAGGGGGAGGAGCAAATGCCAAAGCACTAAGACGAGGGTGTGTCCAAGATCCAATGTCAAGACAATTTTTCTTTCCTATCTTAATTGGGTTGAAACCGCCTTTGCTAAGATTGAAACAATAAGAAAATTATGACAGTGAAAGAGACCTGTTGATCTAACCAACTCCATCTTGCCTTTTTTTTTTTTTTTTCGAGATACAGTCTCGGTCTGTCGCCCAGGCTGGGGTGCAGTGGCATGATCTCAGCTCACTGCAAGCTCCGCCTCCTGGGTTCACGCCATTCTCCTGCCTCAGCCTCCCCAGTAGCTGGGACTACAGGTACCCGCCACCATGCCCGGCTAATTTTTTATTTTTTTTTATTTTTAGTAGAGATGGGGTTTCACCGTGTTAGCCAGGATGGTCTCGATCTCCTGACCTCGTGATCTGCCTGCCTCGGCCTCCCAAAGTGCTGGGATTACAGGCATGAGCCATCGCACCCATAATATGCCTTTAACCTCCAAACTGCCTTTGGTCATTCCTGGGTTTGGGTCAAGCTAACTTTGGGAAAAATTTAGTTTATGGTTTAAATGATAATACCCGAACCACCCTTGTAAAACTAACCACCAGGTTAGGAGGATGAGAGGTGCCTGAACTCTGCTAAAACGTAAGCATAGTTAAATGACTACCAGCCACCCTTGCTGCCACTAACATGGAGACTTTGTACCGTGTCCCATTCTTAGTGCTCGAATGTCCCAACCTGAAGCTGAAGAAGCCGCCCTGGCTGCAAGTGCTGTCGGCCATGATTGTGTATGCTCTGATGGTGGTGTCTTACTTCCTCGTCACTGGAGGAATAATTTATGATGTTATTGTTGAACCTCCAAGCATTGGCTCTATGACTGATGAACACGGGCATCAGAGGCCAGTAGCTTTCTTGGCCTACAGAGTAAATGAACAATGTATTATGGAAGGACTTGCATCCAGCTTCCTGTTTACAATAGGAGGTTTAGGTTTCATATTCCTGGACCGATGGAATGCACCAAATATCCCAAAACTCAATAGATTTCTTCTTCTATTCATTGGATTCGTTTGTGTCCTATTGAGCTTTTTCATGGCTAGAGTATTCATGAGAATGAAACTGCCGGGCTATCTGATGGGTTAGAGTGCCTTTGAGAAGGGCTATCTGATGGGTTAGAGTGCCTTTGAGAAGAACTCAATGGATACTGGATTTGCTCCTGTCAATGAAGTTTAAAGGCTGTCCAATCCTCTAATATGAAATGTGGAAAAGAATGAAGAGCAGCAGTAAAAGAAATACCGAGTGAAAAAACAGGAAGTGTATTGAAGCTTGGACTAGAATTCCTTCTTGGTATTAAAGAGACAAGTTTATCACAGTATTTTTTTTTCCCCTGCTGACCCATTGCTGTACCAACGATGTTGAGTGGCATTTTCTTCTTAGTTTTTCATTTCTTAAAAAAAAAAGCTCCATATTTACAGCTATAATATCAAATAAAGTGATTATTTTTTACAACCCCCTTAACACCTTTTGGAGATGGCGTTTCTGTTTTCAGAAATTAACGTAAAATCAAGAAGCAAGATTCCATAAGCTGAGAACTCTGGACAGCTGATCAGGTTTACCTATGGTGCTTTGCCTTTAACTAGAGTGTGTGACGGTAGATTATTTCAGATATGTATGTAAGACTGTTTCCTGAACAATAAGATGTATGAAAGGAGCAGAAATAAATAATTTTTCTAATTAAAAAAAAAAATGACTACCAGCCATTATTCCGGGGGTCCCAAGATCTGCAACTTCCCTGTTACTCCTATAAATGACATCACTATTGTAGAACCTAAGACTAGCCTTTTGAGATGTCTTTTCAGGCTTTTGCATTGCTGACTACCAGATGGCCCCAGCCAGACCAGCAACTCCTCTGGGGGTCCCCACCCTGAAGTGGACTTAGCACAAGAGGGCCGTTCTCCACTGTCCTGTGATTGCATTCCCCAGCCAATCAGCATTGTCCCTTCCTTAGCTCCCTGCCCACTAAACTGTACTTGGCCTCCAAACTGTACTAGCCTCCGAATTTTTGGGGAGATTGAGTAGTGTCTCTTTTTCCATGTGGCATGGCCAGCCTCAAATCAATTAAACTCTTTCTTTACTGCAATGCCATGGTCTCAATGGATTAATTTTGTGCAGCAGACAGGAAGAACCTGTCAGGTAATTGCAAAACCAGGAGCAACACATTCAAAGTTAATCTCAAGTGAGATCAACCATTTTCAAACTTTGGTGTTGCTCAATGATTCATTAGAGTTATCAGAGCTCAATACAAATTTGTTAATCTGGAAAGATTTAAGACATTTATTTCCTACTCTTTTATACCTTCTAGTAGCTAGTATGTATGTATGGAGGAGGGTAGGGGATTCAGACAAGTTCAGGCCAATAAAAGGGAACAAAAATTACTGGGTGAAAAAACTCACCCTGGCCAGGCACAGTGGCTCACACCTGTAATCCCAGCACTTTGGGAGGCCTAGGTGGGAGGATCACTTGAGCCTAGGAGTTCGAGACCAGCCTGGGCAACATGGTGAAACCCCATCTCTACCAAAAATACAAAATTAGCTGGGCATGGTGGTGGGCACCTGTAGTCCTGGCTACTCAGGAGGCTGAGGCAGCAGAATTGCTTGAACCCGGGAGGCAGAGGTTGCAGTGAGCTAAGATCACGCTTTGCACTCCAGCCTGGGCAACAAGGGCAAAACTCCATCTCAAAAAAAAAAAAAAGAAACTTGCTTTTCTACCTCAGATCACCAGCCTGCCATAGTTTATTCCCTTCTCTTTATCTGGGCTCTCATCTCTCCCACAACAGAAGAAAGACTTTAGGTCCTTATTGCCCTCAAAGAATGTGAGCTATTTATTCTCTGACCTCATCACACTTTGTGCCTCTCTCCGGTTATCTATGTGCATCTTATCCATCACCCTCACTGGCTTTGCTGGAAAGTTTAAATTTAATAATAAAACTTATTTTTTTGAGACGGAGTCTTGCTCTGTCACCAGGCTGGAGTGCAGTCGTGCGATCTCAGCTCACTGCAACCTCTGCCTCCTGGGTTCAAGCAATTCCCCTGCCTCCCGGGTTCAAGCAATTCCCCTGCCTCAGCCTCCTGAGTAGCTGGGATTACAGGCTTGCGCCACCATGCCCAGCTAATTTTTTGTATTTTAGTAGAGATGGGTTTTCACCATGTAGGCCAGGATGGTCTCGATCTCCTGACCTTGTGATCCGCCCACCTCGGCCTCCCAAAGTGCTGGGATTACAGGCATGAGCCACTACGCTCGGCCAAACTACTCATGTTTTGCAGTGTGTCTGTGTTGATCTGCTATAATGATGTCTGTCTCTCAAACGTGTGATTTCTGGATAAAATTCCTTCACTATCTTCTTTTCTAAAAACCTGCATCCACTTAGGTATGTCACCTTAAAACAGTTTACCTATAAACCTCAAGGAAATGATGATTAGTGTCTACTATGGAAGGATTTGTCTTGTTTAAAGTCTAATGAGGGCATATGCTGGGTCAGAGTTTGCTCTTAAGAAGAGGAAACTCGCCGGGCGCAGTGGTTCATGCCTGTAATCCCAGTACTCTGGGAGGCTGAGGTGGGCCCATCATTTGAGGTCAGGAGTTCGAGACCAGCCTGACCAACATGGTGAAACCCTGTCTCTACTTAAAAAAAAAAAAAAATTAGTTGGGAGTGGTGGCACAGGTCTATAGCTCCAGCTACCTGGGAGTCTAAGGCAAGAGAATCGCTTGAACCCAGGAGACAGAGGTTGCAGTGAGTCAAGATCGTGCCACTGCACTCCAGCCTGGGTGACAGAGTGAAACTCTGTCTCAAATAAATAAATAAATAAATAAATAAATAAATAAATAAATAAAATGTATTATAAAAAAAGAAGAAGAAATTCTTCAATATAATACATAGGGTCAGAAAAATGAAAAAGAAAAATAAAGAAGCAACTAAAGAAGAAGAGGAAATCCCTCGAAATAGAAGCATATATTTTTGGATGTTCATAAAATATGCAGAGGATAAAGGAGGCCAAGTTTGATCCCATTGCAGATGAATACTGAAGCTTAGACATATTCCTTTCTTTCTAATAGTAATTAAAAGGTTTAGTTTTGTTTTTTACTTCTTGTTGTCTAAATGAAAATCGAAACAAAGCAAAGCTGTGACAGTACTTTGTAAATGTGGATGTGCTTTGGAAACCTATCTTCAAGGGTTGGCAACAATGAGACATAAATATTAACAGCTGGCACTTGTATCATGTTCTTCTTTGATAGGGCAGATTTTATCGGCCCCACTTTGAGAGAAAGCTGCGGTCACTGAGGTCACCCAGCTCATCAAAGGTAGAGTTCTGTTTCAGACCCAGGTCTCTGATTCCAAATGCTTGGCTGCGTCTGCCACCCATCCTCTTTCCACAGAAGAATCTGGTTCTCCACAGAAACCAGGAAGGCCTGCAGAGCCGGAGGGCATGCTGTGGTTGCCGTCTTTCATCCCAGCCTGAAACAGATCCTTTTGGAAGGACTCTTGGCTCTTCTGGCCTCTGTCTTCCAAGCCCTTACACACAGACACACACATACATACACGCACACACCCACACACAGCCTTAGAGAACAGAGCCGGGTGTGGAGTCTCTGCCTGCTCCACCGTCACATTTCCACAGAGACAGCCAGGATTCTGTGGTGTGGGAGTGGGAACCGGGATCTCCCTGCCACCCAGGCAAGAATGGGCAGCGCCACGTAGTCACCTCAGCAATTCTCATGATGCAGGGGACGGATGGGGCCTCCAGGGCTTGTTGGCCACCCCTTCCCCCTCCCTCTGGAAAAGCTCCTCAGCTCCAGTGTTCTGCTAGCTGGCTAGTTTTGTACATACCTATTAGAGGAAATGGTGACTAACGTTTATTTATTGAGCACCTGCTATGTTCAACACACAATATTAATTATTGTTTTATTTAATAATTAATTGATTAATGTTATTATTGTTTTAATACATTTATTAATTTATTGTATTATTGTTATAATTAAAATTTCCTGGGCACTCGCCAGGTGCATGAATTGACTCTAATGAGTAGCACAGTGACTCTGGGTGTTGTGGTTATTTTACAGATGGGAAAGGACAGATTGCTTGGGAATTTTGCTCCAGTTTATACAAAGGGTGAGTGGCAAACCCAGGTCTCATTCCAAAACCACTGAACGGTAGACAAGGGACTTAGTGCTGTGAAGGATGGAGACCTGTCATGAAGGATGCGGACCTGTGTATAGCTAACTCTAATAGCAGGTGTTACGGGCTGAATTGTGTCCCCCAAAAAGATATGTTGAGGTCCTAACCCCCGGTACCTCCTAATGTGACCTTATTTGGAAATAGGGTCATTGCAAATGTAATTAGTTTGGGGTCACATTGGAGTAGGGCGGGCTCTTAATCCAATAGGACTGGTGCTCCCATAAGGACAGAAGAGACACAGAGGGAAGATGAGGCTGTGACCACAGAGGCAGGGATGACAGTGATGCTGCCACAAGCCAAGCAATGCCTGGGGCCACCAGAAGCTGGAGGAGGCAAGGAAGCATCCTTCCCTGTGGGTTTCAGAGGGAGACTTCCAGCCTCCAGAGCTGAGAGACAATACATTTCTGTTGTTTTCAGCCACCAAGTTTGCGGTCCCTTGTGACAGCAGCCCTAGGAACCTGGCACAGCTGGCAAGGGAGCAGTGAGCAAGTGAGCAGAACTTGAGGTCAGGGGAGTGGCTAAAACAGAATGGGAAGGTCTGGTCTGCTGCCTTTGCACTGGGTCTTAAAGGATAAGTAGGGTTGAGGAAGTAAAGAGGTGGGCTGCAGGAAAGTACAAGTCCAGGAGCAGCAGCAGGGGTGACTGCGATCAGCCTGGGAGAGGGCAGAAGGCCACATGACCACAGTGTAGGAAAGAAGAGGGTGGTGGGTACACCGGCGGTGGGGATCGGATCCCGGAGGGCTGTGGATCCTCCACACAGGACTCTGGGGTGCAGCCGTCAGCTGTGTGCTCCCCGGCACCTCCTGTGCCCCTGCTCAATGAGTCAGGCCCCCTGGGACCCAAGCTGTCTCCCCTGGGCTCCAGACCCATCTTTCCTGAAGCAAGCATCCCCTTGCTGTGTTAGCCACGATGTGTTACCCTTTTCTGCCTCAATTTTTTTTTTTTTTTTTTTTGAGATGGGTCTTGCTCTATTGCCAGGCTGGAGTGCAATGGCACGATCTCGACTCACTGCAACCTCCACCTCCTGTGTTCAAGTGATTCTCCTGCCTCAGCCTCCCGAGTAGCAGGGATTACAGGCATGCGCCACCATGCCCGGCTAATTTTGTATTTTTAGTAGAGACGGAGTTTCTCCATGTTGGTCAGGCTGGTGTCCAATTCCTGACTTCAGGTGACCTGCCCGCCTCAGCCTCCCAAAGTGCTGGGATTACAGGCATAAGCCACTATGCCTGGCCTGCCTCAATTTTTATAAGGCATCACCGGCCTTATAAAAGCAGGTGTAGCAGCCTGGTCCTATGGCAGAAGGACCCTCCTCTCCTTTTTCACCTTTCACAGGGTCTGGAGTTCTTTCCCTGACTGGGAGGGGCTGGGCCCTAGGATCTTCCCTGAGTCTGGTTAGCTTCTCCCTGCCCTGCATCCTCCTGCCCTGAGGGACCTCTTCGATGCCCCGCCCCTCCCTGCCCCCCTGCTGCTGAGCCTCCCAGACCCCAGCCTGCCCTGGCCATGCCCTCTGCACACTGTGCTTGGCCTTCCCAGCTTCACGGATGGGCGTGGTTCCAGGTCCTAGCTTCTCCCTGACTGCCCAGTCTGCCCAGCCTTCCTTGGCTCCAGCAGGCCCTGTCCTGAGCTATGTCGTTGAAGGTTTGGGAGCAGGAGCGTGCCGTAATCCAAACCACAGCTCTGATTGCTCAGTCAATGCTGAACTAAAAAATAAGCCATGTTGAAGCGTTGTCTGGCACAAATGATGTGCTTAATGACGATCCGTTGGTCGAATGAATGGATAAAGGGGCAAACGTGCAGATTGTTGTAATTGTCCAGGGCGGAGGAACTGAGTTTCTCAATATAGGCTTATCTCATTTCAGACCCAGCCAGCAGCAGGACGAGGCGGAGTGGGGCCCGGGAGGTGGGGCTCTGTGACGCAGGAGAGGAGTGAGGGCTGTGACAATCAGCCGTATAGGGGCAGCCCTGGCTCCACCGCCTCTGGCCACACACCTTGGCTAAGCCACTTAACTTCTGAGCCCCCGCTTCCTCCTTCGTGGGGAGGAGATATTAGTATCCACCCCTCAGAGCAACCTGAGCCAGTAAATGTGGAAAAGGCGATTTTTACAGTTTGTGGTGATCTGCATCCAAGAGATTGGTCAATAGGTGGTAGGACCCCCACATGCTCGACTCTTAATTCCTTGGAGAAGGAATCAGAAGAGCAAACACCACCCAGGTTCTCAAGGATCTGGGTCATCTGGGGAAGGAAGTTACCTGGCAAGCACCCAGGTGAGGGAGAGAACAAAGCTCCAATAATCAGGACCCTCCAGTGTGCTTAATTAGTAAGAATAAATAATGCATGGCTGAGAAAACAGACTAGTTACATGACTGACCAGATCCAGGGAGCAAGCTGAGAACAAAAAGTCGAAGCACAAAGCCAAAGTCGGGCCACCCTGACACGTGTCCACTGCTACAGCCCAAGGCTGTTGGGTCCAGGTCAGCCCTTGGGGCTAGCACAGGGTTCAGATGGACTGAGTTGGCTCTAGCTGGCGGGAGAGGGCTCTGGAGGCTGGGAAGGAGAAAATGGATATAAAAGTGGAACTGTCAGGGATTAGAACAGAGGATGTGGTGGGAGAGGGAGGAAAGGAGTTGAGAACAATGCAGAAGTTAGGAACCAGTGAATGCCAAGCAAGTACTTGAGAGCCTTCAGGGGCGATCTGACCGTGTGTCCTGCCTGGCAGAGGCCTTGGAGTGGAAACAAGGGTTCTTGTATGACTCCCTGAGTGGCTGGGGATGTCCAGATGGCAAGGCTATGCTGCCCGGTTACTCACACGACAGGCAAGCTGGGCCATCGTCCTGGGTGTGTGCCTAGCTCCTTTAGCAACAAATGAGCCCTTCTCAAATGATAGAGCATTCACTTTTTCAGAGATTTATGTTTTAAATGATCACAGTAATTTTTAAAATAGAGATGGGGGTCTCATTATGTTGCCCAGGCTGGCCTCGAACTCCTGGGCTCAGGCGATCCTCCTGCCTCAGACTCCCAAAGTGCTGAGATTACAGGTGTGAGCCACTGTACCTAGCCAAAACGCTCACAATAATTATAACTGAGTAGAAATGAAACATCAGTCTGAATTATATAACAAAAACGTATTTTTAAAGAATGCTGGCTGGGTGTGGTGGCTTACGCCTGTAATCCCAGCACTTTGGGAGGCTGAGGTGGGTGGATCGCTTGAGGTTAGGAGTTCGAGACCAGCCTGGCCAACACGGTGAAACCCCGTCTCTAATAAAAAAATACAAAAATTAGCTGGGCGTGGTGGCGTACACCTGTAATCTCAGCTACTCAGGAGGCTGAGGCAGGAGAATCACTTAACCCTTGGAAGCAGAGGTTGCAGTGAGTGGATATCATGCCACTGCACTCCAGCCTGGGCGACAAAGCGAGACTCCATCTCAAAAAAATAAATAAAATAAAGAATGCTTCACATTTAACAATCAAACAATAAGCATGATATGAAGAGACAAAAGTTAAGGTGAAATATTTAGTGGAGCAGCTCCTGCAGAGATCTTCCTGAGATTCATTTGCTTACAGTGGAATTTCATGAAGATCCACGGTGAAAAAAGAGGAACAATGAGGAGAAAATGTGCCCCATCAGAGGTTAATATCTACTGCTGCAAAGACATAGCCCACAGATGCAAGAATGCATAGACCAATGGAACAGAACAGAGAACCAGCAGATAGACCCAGGGACACATGGGAATATAATATACCATAAAGGTGACATCACAAATCAATGGGAAAAGGATGGATCGTGGCTGGCGGTGGTGGCTCACACCTGTAATCCCAGCACTTTGGGAGGCTGGGGTGGGAGGATCACTTGAGGCTGGGAGCCTGGTCAACATGGTGAGACCCTGTCTCTACTAAAAATACAAAAATTAGCTGAGTGTGGTGGTGCACGCCTATAATCCCAGCTACTTGGGAGGCTGAGGCAGGAGAATCGCTTGAACCTGGGAGGTGGAGTTGCAGTGAGCCGAGATTGCACCACTGCACTTCAGCCTGGGCCACAGAGCGAGACTCCATTTCAAAATAAATAAATAAATAATAAAAGGGTGGATCATGAAGTAAATGGAGCTGGGAAAACTGGCTATCTGTATGGAGAAAAATAAAATTTAACTGCACAGAAGGGTGGACTCTATTTCCAGAGAAAGTCCCAAATGTGGATGGTAAACTAAAATGCTAAGAAAGGAAAATGAAGGAGAATATATTTCTGAAAAGGGGGAGAGAAAATACTTCTAAAAATGAATGTTAAAAACACAAAGCTGGCTGGGCATGGTGGCTCATGCCTGTAATCCCAGCACTTTGGGAGGCCAAGGCAGGCGGAGATCACCTGAGGTCATGAGTTCGAGACCAGCCTGACCAACACGTAGAAACCCCCATCTCTACTAAAAATACAAAAATTAGCCATGCATGGTGGAGTGCGCCTGTAGTCCCAGCTACTCGGGAGGCTGAAGCAGGAGAATGGCTTGAACCTGAGAGGCGGAGGTTGCAGTGAGCAGAGATCGCACCACTGTACTCCAGCCTGGGTGACACAGTGAGGCTCCATCTCAAAATAAATAAATAAATAAATAAATAAATAAATAAATAAATAAATTGAAAGCATGTGTACGTTAAATAATATATACTTTATGGAAAATACATATAAACAGACATGTTAAACACATTAGGATGATGGGGAAAAGAAAATGAGAATAACAAGAAGTAATTAAAACATAAAGAGCTGGATTCAATTCGAATAGGTAGGATCGCTATCAGAAGTCTCTGGGGATAAACGTTCAGTTGAGTCAGTCAGCGCCACATCTTGGTTGGTTCTGTTTTGCTGAGAGCTCAGTGCTTTGGAGAGTTACAAAGGAAAAAGTCCAGGCTCATTCAATCAACCAAACTGATGGAATAAAAATGTTTATTAAGCTCTCTGGGTGTCAGATACAGGGATAGACACCAGGCAATGTAAGCAGATGTCTTCAAGGAGCCATAACCAAGTTCCTGCCTTAAATTAAAACACTTTTACTAATGACAAAGTCTCTTTGATGTAACTAACCATAAACATAAACATTTGGACCCAGTAAATCTGGCTTCCAATGTTTTGAGAGCTGGTATGGTTAGAGAGAATAAAGTCCAATTCATTATTTAGGGGAAGCTTGATTCCCGAGCCTAAGTTAAGAGGGGGAAAGATACAGTTGCTGAAGATGGGTATTCATTCTTTTCAGCTCCAGCGGAGCAGCCTGGGAGCCAGCAGAGGTGCTGGTTGCAATGTGAAAGGGCCAGTGAATGAGACAAGGGAGATGAAACCTGCAAGTTTTACTGCTGATAAAGCCACCGTTGGAGGGCATGGCCTCGATCTACAGGCAAATGGACTGCCTAAAACTGCATGATGGAATTAGACAAATATGCCCCCTGGCAGAGACAGCTCTAGGCCACCATGGGCCATCCACAGGGGACCAGGCCCCACAACATGCATGGCTGGAAGAGATAGAGCAGTGGGCGGGTCAGCTCCCAAGAGGAAGAGTGAGCCAAAGGGCTGGGCTCTGTATGCCCAGGTTCTCCTTCCAAATTCACCCACAGACAAGTGAGTCCTTCTCTGAGGCTCCAGGAGAGGCCCGACAGTCACCCTCACGAGCCCCCTCAGAGGGGAGGAAATCGTGTGTCCTCTACATGGAAGCCAGGTCTCCCCCTTCTCAGTTGCAAGTTCTAGGATCCGATGGCCAGACCTTGGGATAAAGGGAAGAGAAGGGAGGAAGAGCCACCAAGAATCGATGCCATCAGAGTTCTGAGCTTCGGGAGATTCACAAAACCCAGTTTGTCAACATTCCTATGGGCGTCATCCCTGCCCACCCGCCAGTTAGCACCTGCCCCACCTAGGAACCAGGGGATGACTATCCAGGTCAGCTCCACTTGGAGATGAGATGCAAAGTAGCTTTTCCATTGTGCGGAGCTGCTTTTACTTTTTCTTTCTTAAAAACAATTTCGAAATGAAAGCAAGTCTTAGGAAATCCATGCCAATAGTCCCAGCTTTGCTGTAGGTAGATCCAGGAGGAGAAGCGTGTTGTGGAATGGCCGTGCCTTTGAAAGTAAGCTGCCTGGAAGGGCAGGGACCCTGCACTCAATGCCCATCTGCTGTGGTGGTCATTCCACCAACCCTGAACAGCTCTCACAGCCACAACAATGGGGCAGATGGGATGTGGAGCCGTCAGAGGTGCTCACTGGTGAGAGGGCTGTGGACGCTGCCAGTCTAGAAGCAAAACACAACCCTGCTGGCAAGGAAGTGTGCAGAAACATGGAAGCCACTCTTTCTTATTGGCAGAGTAAGGGGTTGGGGTGTACAGCTCAGAACCCCACCAGGGCGGTCAGCATAGATGGGGCCTGCCAGGGAGGAAGAGCTGAGGCTAGCCATTTAGGGTGTTGTGTCCACCACGAAAGGGGGTCACTCCCTCCTCGAATGTCCCTTAAGTCTAAGGCCTACAGTTACCAACATGACAACTCCCCAAACTGAAAATGCGACCACGAGAGCTGCCTTTGCGTGTGCACAGAATGAGAGGCTGCGTGGATGGGCCTGTGTGTCTTCTACCACACCTAGACTCAGGGAGGACAGTCCCTGCCAGCACTGTCACCAGGGAAAGTCAAGCATGCCAGGAGTGACAGTGTTTTGAAGCCTAGTGGGACATTAGAAGTTGCCTGGTTAAGGCCGGGCATGGTGGCTCACGCCTGTAGTCCAGCACTTTGGGAGGCCAAGGCGGACAGATCACCTGAGGTCACGAGAACAGCCTGGGCAATATGGTGAAACCCCATTTCTACTAAAAATACAAAAATTAGCTGGGCGTGGCGGCACGCGCCTGTAGTCCGAGCTACTGGGGAGGCTGAGACAGGAGAATCACTTGAACCCGAGAGGCAGAGGTTGCAGTGAGCTGAGACCACATCACCGCACTCCAGCCTGGGCGACAGAGTGAGACTCTGTCTCAAAAAAAAAAAAGTTACCTGGTTGAACCCACGTATAGGACAGACACTAAGTGGATCTGCAGAGCAGAAGGCAGGGAGGAACACACATCTGGCCTGCACACGTCTCATCTGGCTTGCAGAGGATCTTGGAAAAAAACTGTAACTCATTTGCCAATATTTAAGAACTGGGAATTGGGCACGGTGGCGGCTCATGCCTGTAATTCCAGCACTTTGGAGGCCAAGGCAGGAGGATTGCTTGAGTTCAGGAGTTCAAGACTAACTTGGGCAATATTGTGAGGCCTCATCTCCACAAAAAATTTAAAAATTAGCTGGGCATGGTGGCATACACCTCTAGTTCCAGCTACTTAGGAGGTTCAGGTGGGAGGATCACTTCAGCTTGGACGTTCAAGGTTGCAGTGAGCCAAGAATGCACCACTGCATTCCAGCCTGAGTAACAGAGTGACACACTATCTCAAAGAGAAAAAAGAATTGGGAAATGTCACATAAAAATCAGGATTTCAGGGTTTTCTTGAAAATGAGACAGGTAGCAGGACAGGGCTCATGTTCTAGCATAGCAACAGCCATGCGCAGAAGCTGAGAGCTGGCCAGCCTACCTCCCAGCTAGCACGTCCCTCAGATGGCCGCTGTGCCAACACTCAGGGTCAATGGCAGAACTAGGACCAGACCCAGACCTTACAGTCAGTTGCCCTTGGACTCCACGTCCCAGTCTCTGTATTCCCCAGTCACATTCTCAGGGTGACCTGAGGACCCAGTCTGAGTAGGTGGCTGGGAACGGCAGATTGACAAAGTGACAATGCTGATTTCATGGAAATTCATGGGAAGTCTGGGAAAACCCAAACAGCCAAAGGCCAAGTTTTAGTTAAGCGTAAACTTCAAGATTTATCTGTCTTGCTCTCCCTTATAGCTCACTGATTGGTGAATGAAGTATGTGGCCCATGTTTCAGCCTAGGGTGAAGCACTGCCCAGGACATTACAAGATGACTTCCTTCTGGAACGAGTCCTTTTGATATTCAGTAAGATTCCACAGGGTCAGGTAACATTCGTTACCTGCTACAGAAATTTGTTTTCCCTGGTTATCAGAAGGCTTAAATTTTTTTTTTTTTTTTTTGAGACAGAGTCTCGCCCTGTCGCCCAGGCTAGAGTGCAGTGGCTCGATCTCTGCTCACTGCAACCTCCACCTTCTGGGTTCAAGCGATTCTCCTGCCTCAGCCTCCCGAGTAGCTGGGACTACAGGCGTGTGCCACCATGCCTGGCTAATTTTTGTATTTTTAGTAGAGACAGGGTTTCACCATGTTGACCAGGCTGGTCTTGAACTCCTGACCTTGTGATCCACCTGCCTCGGCCTCCCAAAGTGCTGGGATTACAGGTGTGAGCCACTGCGCCCCAGCTAAATTTTTTTTTAATTAAAGAAAATATTTCAAGTGCCAATTATCTAGTTTACATGTCAAATCTCTGGGATCCGGACATCTAAATGCTTAGTGAGACATTGTCTTCACTACAGAAAACACACGGGGCTCAGTTTTCAATTCAGTTCGATCAATATTTACTGAGCCCCTATGATGTGCAAGGCTCTATGCTAGGTACTTGAGATACCAAGACCAGTAGTCACTGGTCTCACCTTTGAGGAACTCACAGTTTGAGCAGAGGACAATCCAAATGACTGATAACCACCTGTGTCGTGCCGGGCATTTCAGCACATACTGCTTTATTAAGGTAGCCTTTCATAAGAAAAAAAAGAAGGAAGCGGAAAGAAATAAAAAATCAGGATGATTTAAAAATAATTCGTTTATATTCTGCAATTAAACACCTAATTAATAACATCTAATTTATTTAGGAAATTGTTTCATGTTTTTGGTTTTTTTCTTTTTTTGAGACAGGTCTCACTCGGTCACCCAGGCTGGAGTGCAGTGGCATGACCTCAGCTCACTCCAGCCTTTACCTCCCAGGCTCAGGTGATCCTCCCGCCTCAGCCTTCTGAGTAGCTGGGACCACAGAAGCGCCCCATCATGCCTAGGTAATTTTGTATTTTTAGTAGAGATGAGGTTTCACCATGTTGCCCAGGCTGGTCTTGAACTCCTGGGCTCAAGTAATCCTCCTCTTGCCTCAGCTTCCCACAGTGCTGGGATTACAGGAGGGAGTCACACCCAGCCACATTTTTTTTTTTTTTTCATATAAAACATTAACCCTTGGCCAGGAGCGGTGGCTGACGCCTGTAATCCCAGCACTTTCGGAGGCCAAGGCGGGCAGATCACCTGAGGTCCGGAGTTCGAGACCAGTCTGACCAACGTGGAGAAACCCCGTCTCTACTAAAAATACAAAATTAGCCGGGCATGGTGGCGCATGCCTGTAATCCCAGCTACTCCGGAAACTGAGGCAGGAGAATGGCTTGAACCCAGGAGCCGGAGGTTGCTGCGAGCTGAGATTGTGCCATTGCACTCCAGCCTGGGCAACAAGAGCGAAACTCCATCTCAAAAAACAAACAAACAAACAAACAAACAAAATTAACCCTTGCATAGAGGAAACCCAGCAACTTTAGAACATTGATTGTTCCTGCGGAGGGCTAGAGAGGCTTTAATTTATCTATCGCATTTTATTTCTTTTTCTTTTTTTCTTTTTTTTAAGACAGAGTTTTGCTCTTGTTGCCCAGGCTGGAGAGCAATGGCGCGATTTTGACTCACTGCAACCTCCACCTCCTGGATTCAAGCAATTCTCCTGCCTCAGCCTCCCGAGTAGCTGGGATTACAAGCATGCACTACCATGCCCGGCTAATTTTGTATTTTTTTTCTGTAGAGACGGGGTTTCTCCATGTTGGTCAGGCTGGTCTCGAACTCTTCACCTCAGGTGATCTGCCTGCCTCTGCCTCCCAAAGTGCTGGGATTACAGGTGTGAGCCACCACACCCGGCCGTTATTTCTTTTTTTTAAAAACCTGAAACTAATGGGATAAAATAATACCATTTGTTAAATTGAGATAGTTGTCTATTGAATTAACTCCTGAAGATTTAAAACATTTCACCATTTTTTAAACATTACAAAATAACATGTTTTATGATAATAGAGAGCAGACATAGCTCCCTTTCCTGAGAAAACAATCACCAGGAACACCAATCAATGCCCTCGGGCTTCCGGGCTGTCCTTCTGAGTTGCCTGCTCTGTACAATTCCTGCCTCTTCACCATCAAGCATTGCTTCTTACTGCTGTCAGTGTGTCTGCCTGCACCCTGCACCCTCTCTGCTAATCTGCCATGGCCTGGGAAAGGAACTAATAAAACTTAGACTCACAATGAAAACAGGAATTAATACACTTTAGGGGAAACCCAGAGAAATTCTAAAAACATGAATTCTGGTTTTTTTTGTTTTTTTTTTTTTTAACATCTGGTTTTCGATGGTGTTTTGGACAGCTGGGCTGCTAAATAAGACTTCAAGTAAGGTGTTTCCATGGTTAGCAACCCAGTGGACAGCAGTATGATACACAGGAAGGAAAACTTACCAGAGTACCCCGGTTCTGGAACTAACAGGATTTGTTCATTCATTTATTCAACAGATATTTATTGAACAGCTACCACACACCAGACACTGTTTTAGTTGCTGAGGGTCCATCGACAAACAAACAAGACTGAGAGGAGCTTCAACTCTTGTGGGGAGCCCAAGGTGGGTGGATCCCCTGAGCTCAGGAGTTCAAAACCAGCCTGGGCCACATGGTGAAATCCCATCTCAACAAAAAATACAAAAATTAGCCTGGTGTGGTGTCATATACCTGTAGTCCCAGGTACTTGAGGGGCTGAGGTGGGAGTATCACTTGAGCTCAGGATGTCGAGGCTGCAAGAAACTGTGTTCACACCACCACCACTACACTCCAGCCTGGACAACAATGAAAGTGAGACTCTGTCTCAAAAAACAAAAACAAAACACAATGGGGAAGCTGAGGCAGGAGGACTGCTTGAGGCCAGTTCAAGACCAATCTGAGCAACATAGTGAGACCCCTGTCTCTAAAAATAAATAAATAAATAAATAAATTAGCTGGGCGTGATGGCACGCACCTGTGGTCCCAGCTACTCAAAAGGCCAACGCAGGAGGATCGCTTGAGTCTGGGAGGTTCACGTTGCAGTGAGCCATGATCTTCATGATCTCACGACTGAACTCCAGCCTGCACAATGGAGTGAGACCCTGTCTCAAATCAGAAAAAAAAAAAAAAACACAAACCAAGGAAGAGAATTGCAGAGTCAAGTTCTCTGAAGGCAGTGAATCGGGTGAAGTGGCGGGGCACCAGAGGGTGGCTCTTCAGATGGCAGGGGCAGCAGGGGACAGTGGCTGGGAAGTGCTCTTAGAGGAGGAGGCACTGCTGCAAAGACCTGGAGGATGAGAAAAGGCCAGGCTGGCACAGATGGGGGACATGCCTTCCAGGCCGTGGGAATATGAAGCACAAGACCTCTAAGGCAGCAACGGGGCTGAGTGATCACAGATAAAAAAATCAGCAGCGGGAGCAGAGCCAGCTGAGCTCAAGCTCAGGGCGAGTGAGAGTGAGGGAAAGAAGACGCAGCTGGAGATGCCGATGCACTCCCGGCCAAGGAGGAGTTTGAATTTTATCCCCAAACCCAGGCGTGCACCATCTGACCTAGCCGGGAAATGTGGCTGTTTGGTCTGCTGGACTGGAGGCACAGGGGTGAAGGATAAAATGGGGTTGAGGCAAAAAGAGAATGCAGGTTACCTCTAGGTTTGGGGCCATGTAACAGCGTGTGTGGTGGAGCTCTTTGCTGAGAACAGGGAGGCTAGGAGGGAGGAAGTTCTTGAACAAACAAGAACCCTGGAGACACCAATAGACGGTTGTTGCTGGGGGAAAAGGCAGGGCTGGGGACGTGACTGAAGCCTTGGGATCAGGCTACATGACCTAGGGGAAGAATTCGTACATAGATAAGGGCTGGGAAGGACCCAGAGGGGAAGAGAAGAGAAAGCACAGAAATCCTAAGCACAAAATATGCTCAGGGAATGGTTGGACATGTGGAAAGCTGCTTAGGAGAAGGGTCAGATGAGGCCAAGAGGTTTGGCCTCTGGATTCAGCAAGATGGAGGTAATGTTAATATTGACAAGAGAAGTTTAAGTGCAGGAATGAGGACAATCAGTTTAATCTTTTGGGGCCCGGTTCCTCTGTCAAATGAGAGTATCCGAATAGAGGAGGTTTAAGCTTCCAACTACCCCATTATGCCACATACTTTTTTTTCAAAAAACGGGGAAAGAGGCCAAGCTGGGTGGCTCATGCCTTTAATCCCAGCACTTTGGAGGCCAAGGCGGGCAGATTGCTTGAGCTCATGAGTTCGAGGCCAGCCTGGGCAACATGGCAAAACCTTGTGTCTACAAATAATACAAAAATTAGCTGGTGGTGGCGCATGCCTGTAGTCCTAGTTACTTGAGAGGCTGAGGTGGGAGGTTGGCTTGAGCCCAGCAGGCTGAAGTTGCAGTGAGCCCAGACTGTGCTGCTGCACTCCAGGCTGGGTGACAGAGCCAGACCTTGTCTCAAAAACAAAAGGGGGCAAGTGTGGGTGGGGGAACAAAACAATGATCAAGGATAAGAAATCATAATAGGCTGGGCCGGTGGCTCACGCCTGTAATCCTAGCGCTTTGGGAGGCTGAGGTGGGTGGATCACCTGAGGTTGGGAGTTCAAGACCCGCCTGACCAACATGGAGAAACCCCCGTCTCTACTAAAAAAAAAGAAAAGAAATCATAATAAAGAAAGCTGTCCTATTTGGGAGTTTATTAGTCAAACAGGTTGTGTGATCATCAGTACTTGTTCTTTTTTTTTTTTTTTTTTTTTTTTTTGGTAGAGACAGGGTGTCCTTCTGTTGACCAGGCTGCTCTCAAACTCCTGGGCTTAAGTGATCCTCCCACCTCTGCATCCCAAACTGTTGGAATTACAGGTTTGAGCCATTGTGCCCAGCCACTAGTTCTCTTTTACACAGAAGTTATTAAGGATATTTGTGCAAATTATTAAATAAGCCAAGGAAACAATTAAAATAGAACAGTTAGTGGCCAGAATTCTTCTTAGCAGACCCAAATTATGTAAGTTGTGCCATCAAAACAGTACCAAGACACTCTTCAAAACAGTACCAAGACACTCTTCAAAACAGTACCAAGACACTCTTCCTAGCTTAGTATACTATAAAGATCCTTAAACATTTTTTTTTTTTAAATTGAGACAGAGTCTTGCTCTGTCATCCAGACTGGAGCGCAATGGTGCCATCTCAGCTCACTGCAACCTCCACCTCCTGGGTTCAAGGGATTCTCGTGCCTCAGCCTCCCAAGTAGCTGGGATTACAGGCACGTGCCACCACACTCAGTTGATTTTGTATTTTGAGTAGAGATGGGGTTTCACTATGTTGGCCGGGCTGGTCTTGAATTCCTGACCTCAGGTGATCTGTCCTCCTTGGTCTCCCAAAGTGCTGGGATTACAGGCGTGAGCCACTGAGCCTGGCCTTAAATATTCCTTCTGAATACAACGTATTTGGACTCCACCGAACGGCCACTTATCAGCTTGTCTGAGTCCTTAGTTGTTCCTGTGCTTGCTCACCCACTCTGAAAGGATTGGTCACCCTTCCCAAAGTCAAAAAGGAATGTTAGATGATATTAGGAATTTGCATGCCAAGTTCATAGAACTTTATGATTCCATGAAATGTTTCTCTGTAGCTATCATCTCAGCCAATGAAATGCTTACTGTCTTTTTTTTTTCTTAAATAAACATTTCAGGCCAGGTACAGTGGCTCCCACCTGTAATTCCGACACTTTGGGAGGCTGAGGTGGGTGGATCACCTGAGGAGTTCAAGACCGGCCTGGGTAACATGGTGAAACCCCATCCCTACAAAAAATACAAAAACTAGCCCAGTGTGGTGGCGTCGCCTATAGTCCCAGCTACTTGGGTGAGGTGTGGGGATCTCTTGAGCCTGGGAGGTGGAGGTTGCAGTGAGCAGAGATCACACCACTGCACTCCAGCCTGGGTGACAGAGTGAGATCCTGTCTCAAAAATAAATAAAATACAATAAAATAAAAATTTCAGACCAATAAAGAGGTAGGAAGGAGGCTATAAAGGAAACCCGTGGACTACCAGGCACCTTAGTCAAGTATTACCAAGACAGTGGAAACCTCTATGCTTCTCTCACTGTGTCATCGCCCTATCCTCCAGATTTAGTCACCGTCTTGCATTTTCCCCCAAGGTTATTAAGGGTGGAAAATAACCCCAATCCTTGTTTTGCCAAGAGTACTCTTTATGTATTTCCCCACTGCCTACTGACTGTTCTTTTGAAGTGACTACAGCTAGATAGAGCTTTGGTCACTTTTTTGTTACTGGTTGAGATTAACCCGGCACCAGTGTGGAGACAGGCTCCAAGGTGATTTGATAGAAATCTCCTGTATCAGTGGATGTGACTGTTCTGGGTACAATGGTTCTAGTCCGTGACACTGTTCTGAGCTTCCGGGAGGGCTGCCCTTCCTCACTTTAGTTTTAACCTTGTCTGAAGAACTCCCAGGAAATTACCAACAGCCCTTCACCAGGCTCAAGAGGCAGACTTAGGATTACCCTTCTCTAGCTGAAAAACTGGAAAATGGAAACCCGGCAATGAAGGGTCATTCAAGGTCTTATACCTAAACTAACAGCAGGGAAGTTTCCAGTAGTCCTGGCTCCAGTGTTTCCTCACTTCCTTCCAAGGCACTGAGTATCATATATTAACAAAAGGATGACTTTCAAACACAAGGAACAGCTTCACAAATGAGGGCTAAAAGGAGAGGCAAGTGAAATATGCGTCAAGGTCCTGCCACATCCTAAGTCAGTTGTTCTCAAATTGTGGTGTACATCATCAAAACCACGTGGGGACTTGTTAAAGAAACAGATTCCCAGGGGCTGCCTGAGACTTAGTCTTAGTGAGCCATAAGTCCTGGAGAAGGGCACTATGAGTGATTCTAATGCATATTCAAGTTTCAACACAGCTGGAGTTGAGTCTTCTGTGTGTGTGCTGGGGGCAGGGGTTTAGGTTCCAAACCCTGATGAAAATAAATTACCCTTAGAAAATCTTAAAACATTCATAAGATACACTGTAAGTGTTTCCTTGGTGGGCAGAACAGTACAGTAACATGTAAATGCTATGTTGTCATACTTACAGTAATGTAAGATACATGATAAGGAATGCATGTACAAATATGACTTTATACTATTTTAACTTATGTAAGAAAGATTATATAGCATCCCTCTGTATCCACAGGGGATTGGTTCCAAGACCTCTGAGGATACCAAAATTCTCCAATGATCAAGTTCCTGACATAAAAGGGTACAGTATTTGCATATAATGTACAAAATCCTCCTGTATATCTTAAATCATCTCCAGATTACTTATAATATGTAATATAATGTAAATACTTGTTATACTATATTCTGTATTGGATTTTTATTGGTATTTTAATTGTAGTATTATTTTTATTATTTTCCAAATCTTTTCCATCCAAGGTTGGCTGATTCCATGAATGTAGAACCTACAAATACAGAGGGCTAATTGTACATAAAAGTTGAGTGAGTCAAATGCTCATATGATATGATTCAGTGACACAAGAATACCATGAAATACATATTATCCTTTCCATTTTACAGATGAAGAGATGGATGCTCAGTCAGGTTGACAGACTTGCCCGAACGGACCAGGTTGGTCAGTTTGCAGGAAGCAGAATTCAGACTTAGCTCTGTTTGCCTCAAAAACCTGCCATCGTTTCATTTTTATTTTATTTTATTTATTTTTTGAGACAGAGTTTCGCTGTTGTTGCCCAGGCTAGAATGCAATGGTGCGATCTCAGCTCACTGCAACCTCTGCCTCACGGTTGGTTTCAAGTGATTCTCCTGCTTCAGGCTCCCGAGTAGCTGGGGTTACAGGCGTGCACCACCATGCCCATCTAATTTTTTGTATTTTTAGTAGAGATGGGGTTTCCCCACGTTGGCCAGGCTGGTCTCGAACTCCTGACCTCAGGTGATCTGCTCGCCTCAGCCTCCCAAAGTGCTGGGATTACAGGCTTGAATCATCGCACCTGGCCGTTTCATTTTTACCACACTGCCACAGGCCACTTCATTTTTTGGCATTCCCCTAAAGGGTAAAGTTCAGAAATGCTCTTCAAGGTCTTGGGGCACCGCTATTTCAAACATTCAATTTAGAAGACAGTATACTTCAAATGGAGCGAGATAAAAATTAGATTAGAGGCATATCCTATTATGAGAGTTGGGAACCCAAACTGGCTAACCAGGCTCCAGGCAGTGATAAGGCAGTGGAGGTATTGATGTCCAGTTGGAAACATTATCAGTGCAGGTAATTTAAATATCTTTCATAGTTTTCTTTCTACTGCAGTTACCATTATATCTTCATTTTATTTATTTATTTATTTATTTTTGAGACGGAGTTTCACTCTTGTTGCCCAGGCTGGAGTGCAATGGTGCGATCTTAGCTCACTGCAAGCTCTGCCTCCCGGGTTCACACCATTCTCCTGCCTCAGCTTCCCGAGTAGCTGGGACTACAGGCGTGCGCCACCACACCCAGCTAATTCTGTATTTTTAGTAGAGACGGGGTTTCTCCATGTTGGTCAGGCTGGTCTTGAACTCCTGACCTCAGGTGTTCCACCTGCCTCGGCCTCCCAAAGTGCTGGGATTACAGGCATGAGCCACAGCGCCCGGCCTATAACTTCATTTTAATAAAAAAGAAATTCAGGCCAGGAGTGATGGCTCACGCCTGTAATCCTAGCACTTTGGGAGGCCGAGGTGAGCAGATCACCTGAGGTCAGGAGTTCAAAACCAGCCTGGCCAACATGGTGAAACCCCGTCTCTACTAAAAATACAAAAATTTAGCTGGGCTTGGTGGCGGGTGTCTGTAATCCCAGCTACTCAAGAGGCTGAGGCAGGAGAATTGCTTGAACCTGGGAGATGGAGGTTGCAATGAGCTGAGATTGCGCCAATGCACTCCAGCCTGGGCAAGAAGAGCAAAACTCCGTCTAAAAAAAAAAGGGAAAGAAAAGTTCAGTCTTTCAGAGGGAATACACTTACCTGAATAGAGGTCAAAATCTCAGAAGAGGCCTCCCTCCTCTCTCTGACCTCTGAAATGCCCTGGATCTGCAAGTGGGAGATAACAGGCCCTGACAAAGGGTTGCCCAAACAGCAGTGTGTCCCTAGGAAGACAGGTTAAGCATCAATTACTATGAGGCTAGCACGAGTTAAGCATTCCACATGCACGATCTCATTTAATCCTTACAAGTCTATGTAGGTGGGGCTACTAGTATGTTCACTCAACAAATTGGGAAACAGAGTTTGGAACTTCGCCCAAAGTCATTGGTTTCTCTTTCTACCAGGATAGATTTAAGTGCTTACTAAGTGTCAGGTACTGTTCCAGGCATCGTACATGTACTAACTCATTATCCTCATTAGAACCCTCTGATACAGGTGCCATAATTATGCCGCTTTACAAACAAGAAAACTAAAAGCAGAAAGGGAGGAGTAAACCCAGGAGAGGAATTCAGGAGAAGCTCTGGTCTCAACCTTTAGCCAACATCACAATCACCCGAAGGGCTTGTAACACACTGATTGCTGGGCTCAGCCCTAGAGTTTCTGAATCCTAAGGCTGAGCAACACCTAATTTCCACTTATGCAAGTTCCCAGTGAATGCTGTTGCTGCTCGTCTGGAAGCCAGACGTTGAGAACCCCTTCTAGAGTGAGCTCTCCCGCAGCAAATTCTACTGGCCCCCAAAGTATGTGTTTTGTGTGTCTTAAAAATTTGTTGAGAACCATTAGCAAAAAAACAAACAAAAAAACTTAATTCCTAGAATTTCAGAGAAATCCCATGGAGCTTTTTGCCAGTCACGTCAAAAGAGGCCACAAACGTGCCACTTAACCAGAGCTTCGGAAAGGCGGCGGCTGGGCCGGCCACGTGCACCGAGACTCGGGGCCAGGTGCAGCCGCCCCAGGGCCGAGGCCTCGGAACTGGCCCCCGGTCCCGGCCCCAAGCGGTCCAGCGATTCCCCCAAGCCGTCCGCCCCTCCAGATTTATTTACGTTTTCCTGACTTCCCCCTGCCCGCTGTGGGACAAACAGCCTCCCCACTTGCATCTGCGAGGGGAGTAGCGCGCACTTCCGCCAAGTTCCGCCCCCACCCAGCCCGAGGCCCGGCTGCCGCCATCTTGCGGGGGGCGCACCTCACAGGTCGGGAGCTGGGCGGGAAGGGGCGTGGTCCCGGGACCCGCCCCGCCGGGGCTTTTGGGAGCGCGGGCAGCGAGCGCACTCGGCGGACGCAAGGGCGGCGGGGAGCACACGGAGCACTGCAGGCGCCGGGTGAGGCGTGCGGCGGCCGGGGTCGGGACGGGGGTTCTGGGCGGGGGGTTCCTGGTGGAGGGCCCGGGCGGGCGGCGGGGTTCGGCGGCAGGTGCGGCGGGCAGCCTAGGGGGCGCGGCGCGGGGTTCTCGCCCGGCACCCCCGGGGCAGGTGGAGCTGAGCCGGCCCGCGGCCCCGCGACCTTCCCCTCGGCGCCGGGTCCCCTCAGGTCTCTCCCGAAGGAAACGCGGAGCCTGGGTGCCTGGGCGCCGTCCCTCGGCGGCTCCCGAGCGGTTGCAGTTTTTGAAAGAGTTTCTCAAAGGCTTGACGGTTGTGACTGCAGCCGCGGGGCAACGGTTGCTACACAAAGTGAAACTTGCCGAGTGCTCGGCTTCTCACGGGCTTCCTGGCAGCCCCGGGAAGTTCCTCGGCGGACCCCGAGCCCGCGCCCCCTCTCCACGGATCCCTCCCCAGCGAGTGCCCCCCCGCCCGCCCTGTGCCCCCTCTCCCCTGACCCCTCCCTGTCGGGTGCCCCGCGGGCTCGCGCTGGCTGTCCCGGGACTCCTTCCTCCTAGGTGTTCCTCCTGCCCCTCGCCCTCTCTCTCCCAGGCGCGCGCTCCCTCTCCCCGGGCCTTTCCCCGCCGGGTATCCCTGGGCCCGCGCCCCCTCTTCTCCGCCTCTCTCCGCTGGGTGCACCTCGAGTGTCCCCCAGACCCCTCCCCGCCCGGCCGGCGCTCTCTCCCCTGACCCTCCTGGCCGAGTGTTCCCCGGGGCCCGCGCCCCCTCCCCCCGATCCTCCCCACTGAGTGTTCCCCCTGCCCTCTCTCTCCCGGGCCTGCGCCCCCCACCAGCCCCTTCATGCTGGGGGTCCCCTGGGTGCGCACCCCCTCTCCTCGGACCCACCCCCAACTGGGGGGCACCTCCAGTGCCCGCCGGCTGCCCCTTGGGCGCGCGCCCCCGCTCTCGGGCGCCTCCTCGCCGGGGGCCCGGCCCGGCCCCGCCCCGCCCGTGCCCCCTCCCCATGCCCGCAGTGCTGGGCGGGGCGCTGACTCACCCGGGCCCGGGCTGGCCGGTTCTTAAGCGGCAGCGCGCTGCGGGCGCCGAGTGTCGGGCGCGGCAGGAGGACGAGGCAGGGCGGGCGGGCGCTCTAAGGGTTCTGCTCTGACTCCAGGTTGGGACAGCGTCTTCGCTGCTGCTGGATAGTCGTGTTTTCGGGGATCGAGGATACTCACCAGAAACCGAAAATGCCGAAACCAGTAAGTTGCCCAGTTTCTGGGCCGGGCGGACGGGAGAGGCTTCATTGGAGAGGGGAGGCACCTGCTCGAGGTGTTGGGGCAGTTCCTGGGGAACAGGGTTCTTCTCACACGCAGAAGACGATAGGAATAGGAGGAGGTTTTCGCCGCTCTTTGTTACTTGTTGACCCTTTTGTGGAGCGTTAGGAAAACACCATTTTGATGCTTTTCTCTGCAGTCTTTTTCTTTGTGAGCCCCCTCCCCAGTAGTTACGGTCTTTTCTAAAAACTAGAGGCCTTTTTACACTGCTTCCGTCTGTTTTTAAAGGGTATAGTAATACAACTTAGAAGTTTCTTAAAAAGTCCAAATCACAGGGAGACTCAGATGGCTTCCGACCACACACACCAGTTCTCAGAGCTCCTAAGGGTCCGAAACCACAGGCGCCCCAGATCCAACTGGGGAGATATTAAAGGGCGTTTGGGAGAGGAGACTGGCTTTCGGAAGTTGCCTTTCAGCTTCGCTTCCTACTAGGCCCATGAAGCGGTGCCCTGTACACCAGCAAACTTGCTGGCTGCAGCAGAATTTCTGTCTCTAACAGAAGGTTAGCCATGGACTTGAATTGTAGATGCAGGCAGCCGGTGGAGTTTGATAAGAGGTTCCTGGCAGGCCGGGCCGAGCACTCCTGGTCAGCTGATGAAAGGGCTGTGCCTGCGCCTCTGTCTCCTTGAATCTGATTGTGTTGAGATTGCTGGCGAGACCTGGGGGTTGTAGGCACAAGGCAGGTTCTCTGGGACTGACGCTTCTTAGAAAGTTGTATGTATTCTACCTGCTTTTAACACTGGGGAACTGGTGACTAGACATTAGGGGGAAGGTTTAACATTTTTTGAGTTTTGAATCACAATGGACAAAATATCAGGATTCATTACAAATTGGGATTACAGATACATCTGGAATTTTTTTTTGGTTTTTCAAACAAGTTGGTTCTGTAATCAATGCTTGTGTGCCTTTTGTGGGGGATGGGGGAGCGGAGTCTCTCTCTGTGGCCCAGGCTGGAGTGCAGTGGCATGATCTCGGCTCACTGCAACCTCTGCCTCTCAGGTTCAAGCGAATCTCCTGCCTCAGCCTCCCGAGTAGTTGGGATTACAGGCATGTGCCACCATGCCCAGCTGGTTTTTGTATTTTTATAGAGAGGGGGTTTCACCATGTTGGCCAGGCTGGTCTAAAACTCCTGACCTCAGGTGATCTGCCTACCTCGACCTCCCAAAATGCTAGGATTACAGGCGTGAGCCACCACACCCGGCCTTGTGTGCTTCTTCTGTTACATTTTATGTTCTCTAAGATCTTTGTTAGAGGTATTAATTTTGCTGTTAGGATAAAGAATTAATATGCCAGTAGATTCAGAAGCCAATATAATTTTTGCCTAAGTTACATCAAGATGATTCATTTGTGATGCAGAGTATTTTCTATACAAAATTTTTCTTTTTAATTCAAACTTAAAAGTGACACGTGACATCGAGGCTTGACAGTGCATGTGGTATGAAACTGACCTAAGTACAACCCCTTACTCAGGCAGAGCTGAGTGCAACGGTATGCGGAGGAGTGGTCAAGAAGATTACCCTTCTGGGTGTGGTTTTCTTTATTTCACTAAAAGAAGAGGTGCAGAGCTCAGCTAAGATAGCACTCAGGAAAAAGTTAACCTGTTCTCCGTCACTACTTTTCTTTCTCATTTCTCATAATGAATGGTAATTTATTTTTATGGTTTCTTTTTTGTATTTTGGTAAAATATACAGTTTATCCTCTTACTTTTAGGTTTACATTTCAAGGTATTAAGTACATTTACATTGTTACATAGCCATCACCAAGGTCCATCTCCAGAACTTTATCTTCCCAGATTGAAACTCTGTACCTATTAAACTCTCCCTCCCCATCCCCACCACCAGCCCTTGGCAACCACCATTCTACTTTCTGTCTCTATGAATTCGACAACTTTAGATACCTCATGCAGGTGGAATCGTGATAGCATTTGTCCTTTTGTGACAGTCTCATTTCCTGTAGCATAATGTCTTCAAGGTTCATCCATGTTGCAATGTCAGAACTCCCTTCTCTCTCTTATTTCTTATGGCAGGTATGTTTTCATTTCATTTTGTTTTAGAGGTCTTTTATGATAGATCAGAACTTAAAAGATGTTTCTGACATTTGATAAAGTGAAGATAGTTGTGAAACTGTTAAGGAAAGACAGTAGCCATCACCTTGTGTATTAGAGCCAGAGTTACTCTTTGAAAGACTGTATTCTGTATAATATCTACAATTAAAATTTTTAAACTTTTTTTGAGGCCAGGCGAGGTGGCCTGATTACAGGCACGAGCCTGTAATCCCAGCACTTTGGGAGGCTGAGGCAGGCAGATCACATGAGCCCAGGAGTTCGAGACTTGCCTGGCCAACATAGACTCTGTTTCTACAAAAAATAGAAAAATTATCTGGGTGTGGTGGCTGGCGCTCTGACTGAGGCTGAAGTGGGAGGATTGCTTGATGAGCCCTGGAGGTCAAGGCTGCAGTGAACTAAGATCAAGCCACTGCATTCCAGCCTGGGCAGCAGAGTGAGATGTTGTCTGAAAACAAACAAAACCCCTTTTTTGAGAGGCTTCCTTTTAGGTCAGCCATACCTGTCTGCCATGGGAAATTTCTCCCTGCCCCCTCTTTGGCAGAGGAGGGTCTTAGAGATAAGTTAAACACACTAAGCCTTTCTGTGTGTAAATTATATTAGAGCCATCCCACAAATCACTGAGAAGAGCATCGTAGGTTGCACATATTTGAATATGACATTTCTTAAGGCTGTTAGAGAGGATCCAGTTAGTTTTGGTTTGGTTTGGGGTTTTTTTGCTGCCTTAGTAAATGTTAAAATGAAACATCCACCAACAGCTCTGTGGATGTGTCCTTTAAACAAAGGTTTATTGATTCTAATTATTCAAGCCTAAGTTAAGAATGTTAGCGAAGAATGTTAGGTGGTTTTCTTGGGCTTAATGTTTAACAACTGGATTAAGGGGCAAACACACTTAAAGGATGGATACCTCTGAGTAGTTGGCCTTCCACCTGATTCATTGCAACTGTTAACCCTTGAATTCAACGGGCAAAGTATTTTTGATTGATTTGCCTGAACTGAGTGAGTGGATGACTTTATTCATAAAACAGTATAACTGAAAATACTCATTTCCTGTGTTTTCTCCTAATACTGTTTCCCAAAAGCAACAGTTACTTAAAAGACTGAGGCGGTACACAGTGGCTCATGGCAGTAATCCCAGCACTTTGGGAGGCCGAGGTGGGCGGATCACAAGGTCAAGAGATCAAGACTATCCTGGTCAACATGGTGAAACCCCATCTCTACTAAAAATACAAAAATTAGCCGGGCGTGGTATGGATGCCTGTAGTCCCAGCTACTTGGGAGGCTGAGGCAGGAGAATCGCTTGAACCTGGGAGGTGAAGGTTGCAGTGAGCTGAGATTGCACCACTGCACTCCAGCCTGGCGACAGAGTGAGACTCTGTCTCAAAAAAAAAAAAAAAAAGACTTTATTCATCAGCAAGCGGAGTGACCTGCACAGAGGGCGAGGCAGACCTTGTTCTCTGGAAGCTTAGTGTCTGGTACCTGGGCCAAGATGCGGGGTAAATGCTGAAATTGAAAACCCGCTAAGTGCTGTCAGACTGGGAAAGAGCCTAGGTAACGTCGAGAGGAAAATCTGATGGGGAAAGGAAAATCATCTGATGGGGAAATTGGCAGACTGTATTGAGAAGTAACACTTCAGCTGAATCTTGCTTGAGGGCTGGGGGGCGCACGCGGCAGCACTCCACAGGGAGGAACAGCTGTGGTTTGTTGTCTGGTTTTGCTTTTCCCACAGCTGCTTAGGGACTCTATTCATGTGTGACTGGCTGACGTCCAAGGAGGGTGATTTGGGGTTCCAGAGGGAGCCTTGGCCTCTGTTCAGGCCAGTCCCCAGGACATGGTGTGCTGTGTGGCCTTGTGGGTCTGCCCCATCTAGGGAGAGTTGTAGGAGTTGGTGCTCAGATCATTGGTCCCGGAAGCATCCTCTCTGCCCGCCCCTTCATGTTAGGGTGACTGCGGAGCGCCTTTCTCCCACACTTGCTTTCTTCTGCCCAGTGGAAAGAAGGCATGGGGAGTGAGCAAGGAACACTGCTGTAGTTAAGCTCTGGAAGGAAAAGGGGATTGTGTTCAGGGCTGAGATCTCTTTAAGCTGTCATGAGAACCATAGAGCTGAACTGCCTTTAAGTGGCTCCAACACATCTTACCTGTTCATTTCTGAAGTGTTATAGACATTTCTAATACAAAAGCAGGTTTACCTTTCATTAGGAAAACTCTGAAAGTGTGTTCACATTTCTACTGTGCCAAAATTTTAAGGTAATTTCTGAGATTACCTTGCCTCTTTGGGAATACATAACCTTTTCTATTAAATATTTTAACAGGGACAGTTTACTGAATGTACTCCCCCCTCACAATCCCCTCGCAATTGAGGAGGATGCGTAGCATCTGTTTCCACCCCTCCTCCTCCACGAGGGGCAGTGGTGAATTAGGTAGCTAACATTTTGCCATGTGGCAGTGAGAGGTGCTGGTAGGATGAGTGATTTGCCATGATCACGCTGTAAGGCACAATGAATGTATTTGGATGTTCACAGACACAGTCCCTGTCAGTGGATTTACAGTCTGGTTTCGGGGACAGACAGCAATCCCAGAGTAAATGTAAAACTGCAGCTTCAGAGAGTATGCCTGAAGAGGGGTACATGAGGCCTGAGAGTAGATGAAGTGTGTATGTGCTGGTGGGGGTGCAAATAGGGGAGGTCAGGAAGGCATCCTTGAGGACGTGACCTCCCTGGGCAGAGGTAACAACGTGTGCAAAGGCCCTGTGGTGGGAGGAAGTAGTGTGAGTTTGGGGTTTCACATGAAGCCCAATGTGGCTAGAGAGGAAGACAGGTCAGGCCATGCCTTGTAAGCCATTCTTGGGTGTTTTTTAGTTTAACTTGGGGTTTTGACTGGGAGGTGACATGATCAGATTTGCCTTTTGAAAAGTTGACTGTGATCTGTAATAGGAAAATCACAGGAGGCAGGAGACAGCAAGGGTAGTTATGGTAGACCATTGAGGGAGCTCATAGCTTGGACCAAGGTGGTGGTGGTGGGAACAGAAGTGGATGCATTTGAGAGTTCTTTGGGAGGTAGAATTGATAGTGCCTGGTGATGGGTTGGATATGCAGGGCCAAGGGTGGTGTCGAGGCTGACTTCTCGTTTCTGGCTTGCGCAAGTGGATGTGTGGTGGTGCCATCGCTGAGGTAAGTAATCCTGGAGAAGGACCAGGTGTGGGGGAAGGTGGGGAGTCTGGATTTGTTGTTACATGTTAATAAGTTTGTGACAATCGTTGATGAAAAAAGTCCTTGCCTTCTTTCATTACTACATCCACTGCCCCCCAAAATATTAAAGGACCAGACTCCTTAAACTACGTTATTTTTAAATCCAAATAATTCAGTAGCTTTTTGTTTTCCCTAGTATATGTACACACCGTACATACCTAAAGTTAAGAGGAAGGGTTAATTTAGTGCAGTGTTCTCAAAATTTTGTGTACACAATTGTCTGGAGACTGTTGATTCCTGGGTCCCTTGAAGAACTAATGACTTCCATCTCTAGGGTGAGGTGCAGGCTGGGTGCTTATGTTTTAAATAAGCTCTCCAGATGGTACTGCTGATTCAATAGGAAAAGGGCAGTTATTATATATTCCTTTCTCCTGCACCCCAATCAAGCCCAGTGTGATTTCAGAGCACCCATTTGGGTGAAAGCAGTCACTTGATGCCCAGCCGCCTTACAGTCCGGCTGAAATGCCAGGAGTGCTGTTATTGGTATTTGGGACTCGAATAGGGGCTAGGATGACTCTGTGAAAAAGAGCCATAAAAACAAGAATTTCATAGCTAATTTACTGCTTACCTATACTTGGGCAGGCCATTCAACATAATATTCTTCTGACTTGAGTTTCTCTCTGCAGGGAGTCCAGTAACAGCTTCATTTGGCAGTGCCCAGTGGTCTCTCACATTTTGGCTCTTTGTTTTCAAAGAGAAAAAAAGAGGCTAGACCTTCCCTATAAATGGTAGGGAAGTAAGAGATCCCATTCCTTGTTCCTCTTTTATTCCTTCCACACTGGCCTCTTTTGTTAATGAAATAATGTGAATTTTTTTTTTTTGGAAACAGGGTCTCACTCTGTCACCCAGGCTGGAGTGCAGTGGCACAGTCACAGCTCACTGCAGCCTCAGTGCCCCGGCCCCCACCCTTGGCTCAAGTGATCTTCCCACCTCAGCCTCCTGGGTAACTGGGACCACAGGCACACACTACCACACCCAGCTAATTTTTTATTTTTTTGTGAAACAAGATCTCACTGTGTGGCCCAGGCGGCTAGTCTCAAATTCCTGAGCTCAAGCTATCCTCCTACCTTGGCCTTCCAAAATGTTGAGATTATAGGTGTGAGCCACCATGCCTGGCTGATAATGTGATTTCTAACAAATGTTGAATAATTATAGTTTGGGAAAGGAAAACAGTATCATTTAGTGAACTATAATTTTTTTCTTAATTTTTTTAACTTAAACTTTTATATCTCTTTGACAATTTGGAGATTCTTAGGGTGGTTTGATATACCTGCTTTCTAATGGTAGTTAGATGTTTCAGCTCTATTCTGAAGCAGTGAAATTCAGTCTGCTTTCTAATGGTAGTTAGATGTTTCAGCTCTATTCTGAAGCAGTGAAATTCAGTCTGCTTTCAAAGTCAGTGAATGCATTTTGAATTATCCCTTATTTCATTTCAGTAGTAACTACCTTGAGACTCCCCAAGTACTCCAATTAGTTTTTAATTTCAGCAGTAAATGTGTGTTGAAAAGACCAAAGTTTGCATTATTTTCCTTCTGATGTATTTACCATCCATGCCTGTTGACATAAAAAGATTTTTCCAGACTTGGGTAGTTTTCAGAACCAAACAAAACCCTTGTGCTATAATGTGACTTAGAGACTTTTGACTGAAATGCTTGATATAGTTAATACACATAATTTTTTTCAAAATGAAACCACAAAGAGCTATAAAGAGAATTTCATAGCTAATTTACTGCTTACCTGTATTTGGGGAAGCCATTTAGCATCTGTGAACCTAAATTTCGTCAGCCGTAAAATGGGAGTTAGTTTTTAAGTGGAAAGAATGTTACATAAGATAAACGGAGACAAAGTTTTTATCAGTGAAATCCAAACAACTCATCTTAAGATGCTGTAAGCTTTATGTGTTTCTTTTGTGTTTCCCTACCCCGCAAATGTTTTTCAAACTTAACCCTGTTAGGTAAAAACTCTGGGTTCCTATAAACGGGTAAAGTTTGTCCATTGGTCTTCTCAAGGAAAAAGCAATATGAACAGTTTGGGTTATCTTAGTAAAAGGGAGGACTCTGATTTTGTCTCATGTCCATCCTCTCTCTGTGTGTTCTAGTCGGAATTCCCTTATCAGTCACATGGGTACCACCTTCATGTTTTGAAGCGCTATTATATCCCATTATGTGCTTGGTGCAGGGACAATAAAAATAAGATTGGTTTTGCCTTTAAGGAGTTCTCAGTCTCCTAGTGAAAGCAGATATGTAAGCAATTACAATGCAGTGTAGTGCATGATAGAGGTCTTCACAGAAGAGAAGTGTGCCCTGGAGACCAGGGAGGGCCTCCCGGCTGGTAAGATCCTTTGGGTAAGTGTGGAGGGATGTGGGCTTCCCAGTCAGCAGTGGTCAGTTCTGTTTTCCTTTATTCATTAACCCGTTCTTAACACTTACAGGCAAACAGTAATGCTGTTTCAAAGGAAATGTAAAACTTCATTAAGTTATCCTTTTAATCTAATATACTTGAAAACAAAACCTTAAAAGCAAAATAAAAAATATCTCACCATGACCCACCTTTTATTGATAGGAGAGGAACCAGTATCACCTGAGGATCAAACTCTAGTAGTCAGTATATCAGATTTTGCTCATATTTTTAAGTTAGAAGTCACTTCTGCAACCTAATTTTGTTTTCCATTTTTGCCTGAGAGATCAATTTTAAACTGCCTGTGTGGACAGTTGTCATTTCAGATACTGTAAATAATTGTTTTTACTTTAGGATGGGGTAGGTAAACTATCATCTTAGGGCCGAGTCTGGCTGTGGCCTGTTTTTATTTGGTCTCCCAGCTAAAAATGGTTTTTATATTTTTGAAGGATTTTAAAAACAACAATATGCAACGGACTCCAAGTAAGACCCTCAAAGCCTAAAATACTTACTGGCTGGCTCTTTAGAGAAACAAATGGACCAACTCCTGCTTCTAGCATAAAAATAATTATTGTTAAGCATTTATTCTAACCTTGTATATATTTTATGGCTGGACTAATATTTGGAAGCAGATCCACCCCATTGGTTCCAGTTTTTAAAAAATTGTTCTCAAAGAACAGAATGTGTTTTGTTAGCCAATGTTGAGCACATCATGGACTCTGAGCATGGACTCAGAAACTACTGAGGAGAGGCATCGTGGTGCTGAGGTAATGTTTTAAACAAAGCTGGTGTTTGGGTGGGTCTTTGTGTAGAGAAAGTGGCAGTATCTTGTGTCACACTTGCTAAGCTATTGTGTAATGACAGATTTCTGGCATATGCTAAAAGAAAGCAATTTGTACCTGATGTTTGAGTT
Source organism: Homo sapiens (assembly GCF_000001405.40). Lineage (NCBI taxonomy): Eukaryota > Metazoa > Chordata > Mammalia > Primates > Hominidae > Homo > Homo sapiens. The sequence continues at coordinate 158,809,386 of NC_000006.12, read as the reverse complement.
GGAAAGAGAATGTTATGTAAATGAATTGCTTTTTTCCTCATTGATAGTTTAAAATGAGCTTTTGATCTACTATAGTCTGTATGTGAATTTCTGACTGCAGATGTTTTGTAAGTCCATTCCTGATTCAGAACACCCTGTCTAAAGTACAGCTCCATCTCTGTGCCGTGCCCCACTTTACTGCACTCATAGAACTCGGTCTCCACCTATAACGCTGTCAGGTGCTTGTTTATTTGTGCTTTTTGTCTTTTCTGGCAGCAAAGCAAGAGGATAGGTGTTGTTTTTGTGTTTTTGAGATGCGGTCTTGCTCTGTTGCTCAAGCACGAGTGCAGTGGTACAATCATAGCTCACCACAGCCTTGAACTCCTGGGGGACCGCAGGCGCTCACTACCACACCTGACTAATCTTTTTATTTTTATTTCTATAGAGATGAAGTTTCACACTGTTTTGTGCAGGCTGGTCTCAAACACCTGGCCTCAAGCCATCCTCCTGCCTCAGTCTCTCAAAGTGTTGGCATTATAGCCATGAGCCACTATGCCTGGCCCAAGTTTGTTTGTTTGTTGTTTAGCATTATTATTTTATAGCAAACTTTAAATTCTTGTTTATTGGCAGGATAAATAGAGGGAAGAAGGACGAGCAAATAGGTAAACATACCTGCCTCCTAGTGGGTAATCTTGGGCAAGTTTTTTCACCTCCCTCTGCCTCCTCATCTGTAAACAAGATCCTGCGTGCCCGCCTGGGATGCCTGCTAAGATGGCACATGGGAAGCACCTGGCCTTATGCCTGGCCCTGGTCAGTAAGGGCTGTGCGGTTCCACTTGTACCTGATAAAATTCTAATCTGATTAAAAGCTTTACTAGCTCGTGATGGTCATTCTTTTCCTCTAACTTAGCAGCCCGATGAAATAATGTAGTAAGTAAATGTAACCTTGTTGTTTGTCCTTTTGCTGCCACGATGAACACAGCTGTCTTGCTAGACCTCTGTTGACTTCAACAGGGATAGCATCAGGTTTATTGGAAATTTACATATGGGACAGTCCAGTGGTGGTGGGTTGGACAGAACAGCAACTGCTTCCCGAAAGCTTGGAAAAAGCATGCAGTTTACACAGCATTCTTACTTAACATACTCCCCCTAACAGCCTCCACCTGGCAGCCTTAAAGTGCTTGTGGGCTGGGGGTTCAGATGTTCCCCATAGATAAGGAATTGATTTCAGGGTTGGCCACTAGGATTCCTTAGCTCGGAACTCCACACACGCATTCTTCTTAAGTTATTGATGTTAGGTACACCTGTACAACCACCCTGCATAAAGTTCATTCATTCAACAAATAGAGCACCTACTTTGTGCCAGGTTTTCAGGTACTGGGGAGACATTGGTGAACAAAAAGAGGCTTTTAAAGGATTATCACCTGCTTGGTTGACAGTCACATCCAGTGAATGGTGGAACCCATTTCCTGCTAATGTGTATTTGAGCCTGAAATGCACATTGTCCCACCTTTCCTCAATGGCAAAATGCTCTGGAAAGGAGATGCTGGTCTGACTAAATAAAATGGGCTTTCTGTTTGGAGTTGTAAAGGGAGCCGTGCCTTCCTCAGCCCCTCCTGAAAGAAAGACCTGCTTTCAAGAAGCTTATATTGCAGGGGGAAAGACACATGTCTAATACATCGTCAGGGGGTGGTGAGCGTGCTACTGTAAATTTTCACCTAGGCTTTGGCAAGAGCTAGAATTAACTTTCATTCTTTACTGACTCTTTGAAGCGTTAAAACCACTGGGCAGAGTGACTTAGGAGTGGGCCCACTGTGATGTGTTTTTGTTGGTTTTCTGGTAAATCACTTTTGGGTTGGACAGTGAACCATGATGGTCTTTCTTCAAGAACTTGTTTTTGCAAGGGTTTGGTGATAAGTCCATCATTTCCAAACCCACTTACTCTTCCATCCTTTCTCAGGTGCTGTGGTTCAGGGAAATGATTGTTTTGATAGTATTTTACCTATTGCACCATTACTTCATCTGTAAATTTCTTATAAAATATGTCTTGGGATCCAGCCTTGTCTTTTTTGTTTGTTTTTTTTTTTTTTTTTTGAGACGGAGTCTCTGTCTGTCGCCCAGGCTGGAGTGCAGTGGTGTGATCTGGACTCACCGCAAGCTCCACCTCCCGGGTTCACGCCATTCTCCTGCCTCAGCCTCCCGAGTAGCTGGGACTACAGGCGCCAGCCATCACACTCGGCTAATTTTTTTTGTATTTTTTAGTAGAGACGGGGTTTCACCATGTTAGCCAGGACAGTCTTGATCTCCTGACCTCATGATCCGCCCGCCTCAGCCTCCCAAAGTGCTGGGATTACAGGCGTGAGCCACTGCGCCTGGCCTGTTATGTTTTTAAAGAGAAAATTGAACCACAGGTCACTTGGTTAAAGCTTAGCACATAAATATGAGATTGGAATCACTTTATTTGTAAACATATATGTAGTGTATATTGGTACAGTATTTTCATTAAGGTGTGTTTCATTGCCTCAGTTAAATAATTAAGGGTGTTGGCTGCTGGGATGTTGAAGTATTTGCTTACATAATCCATTGCTGTTTGGGTGAGACTCTTAAATGGATTTAGACAGATAATGGTGAGAAAACTGGATTTTTTATTTAGAACGTGGCTGAACAAGGCAATGTGGAAATAGTGTGATAACAAGGTGCATTATATAACTTGAACAAATCAACTGCAAAAAGACATTTTCAAAGAAATGGAGGAAAATTGAATAATATTTACTGAACTTGACGTATTAAGGAATTGTTTTAAATTATGTTGGATGTGATAATGGTATTGTGATTTTTTTTTTTAGTGCTTTAGAGCAATATACTGAAGTTTTTACAAGTGAAATAATGAATGAGGGCCTTAAAATATGCCAGCAAAAAAAAAAAAAAGTGAAAGTGGTAGAGTAGAAGAAAGAATGGTGTTGAAGCTGAAAAGAGAGTGTGGAGGATCATGGTACTACTTATTCTCTCTACTTTTATGAATGTTTTCAACTTTCCATAATAGAATATTTGCTTTTAAAAAGCATGTTATAGGGTAGAAAGGGAGAGATGCTTTACTTTTGCTCGTCATGAAGTGCCTGAGTGTTGAGGTGGGAGGATCTCAGGGCGAGGGCAGGTCCCCCATTCCCTGCTGCTGGGGCAACCTTTGTGCTCTGGATCAAATGAGTAACTGATTTGATCTCATCAAATGGCCCCACCCGGGCCATCTCACCCTCCATGCACATGTTTTAAAAGGAGGTCACTACTCAAAATTGCAGCTGACTTGGAAACACATAGAACGATTTGTTCCCAGTTTTTTCCACTATTACTTTGTATTCCCAATGTTTTGGGGGGCCCATAGGAATGGGGCACAGTGCTGTGACCCAACTGGGAACAGGTCATTGTCTTAATAGCGATTTTCTCAGACTTGAAAATTGAAATGAACAAAATAAGGGGCATCTACTGGGTAGGGCTTTAGCCATTTTAAGAGATCAATCTACATACTGGGGCTGTGGGCAGGGATGGGGGAAGGAAATACAGCAAACCATGGGTTGGGGTTGGGGTGAGTGATAGGGTTGTAAAATGTACACCATGTCTTTTCCAGTCAAGTAATGATGTACAAATTATAATGCCATTTCAGATGTAACATACTTGATACTGACAGTATAAATTGAAGAGTTTTTTTAATTTTAATTTAGTATAATTTCAGAAATGGTGATTTTAAAAGTTTTGGCAGGGTTTGCTTATTTAAGCAAATTTTGTAAGATTACTGATTTAGTTTGGATTTTTTAAAAGAAGCTACTTTGGTCTTGCTAATTTTTGACACATGGCAAAAGTAAAGACTGGGGTGAGTTCAAATCTTGTCTAATCGAAGTTTCTTACAGGAGAAATGTTCTTTAACATTGTATAATATTGCTCATGTGATCTTAACTAGGGGCAAAAATTTATCTCAGCAATGGCACAAGACTTAAGTATGGTTTATGTCTTATGTCCTCTAAAAAACAGGTTAGCAAAGAAATTTTTCGACCTTTTTTTTTTTTTTTTTTTTTTTTTCCTGAGATGGAGTCTCTGTCACCAGGCTGGGAGTGCAGTGGCGCCATGTAGGCTCACTGCAGCCTCCGACTCCCTGGTTCAAGCGATTCTCCTGCCTCAGCCCCACGAGTAGCTGGGATTGCAGGCACACGCCACCATGCCCGGCTAATTTTTGTATTTTTAGTAGAGATGGTTTCACCATGTTGGCCAGGATGGTCTTGGTCGCCTGACCTCGTGATCCACCCACCTCAGCCTCATTGTTTCCTAGACTCACCTTCTCACTCCCAAGATCAGAAATTGGAAATCATCATTCTCAGTAAACTATCGCAAGAACAAAAAACCAAACACCGCATATTCTCACTCATAGGTGGGAATTGAACAATGAGATCACATGGACACAGGAAGGGGAATATCACACTCTGGGGACTGTTGTGGGGTGGGGGGAGGGGGGAGGGATAGCATCGGGAGATATACCTAATGCTAGATGACGAGTTAGTGGGTGCAGCGCACCAGCATGGCACATGTATACATATGTAACTAACCTGCACAATGTGCACATGTACCCTAAAACTTAAAGTATAATAAAAAAAAATAAGAAAAAAAGAAAGGAAAAACTCTTCACAGGCTTCTAAATTTGCAGAGACAACCATGCATTCCAGGTGAATAGTGATGTTTAATCTATAGGCCTTTAGTTCCCTATCTTTTCTGAGCCTACAATTAAAACCGACTCTAGCATATAATAAGCCATCTTGGCCTTGTCCCTTACTTTTGTTTATGTGTGTAGTTACTAAGTTTACTAAGTAGTTACTAAACTTAAGTTTCTGTGTATAATTACCTGCACATTTCAGTGAAGCATGTTGGTGATGAAGTATTTATGATATACCTAGTGAAACTGAAATCACATGGTATACAATCAAGACTTAGACTTCAGGAGTTTATTAGATAAATTCTTGTTCAAGGTCCCTTTCTCTTTATTTTGCCTGCCCTGAGGTAAGGAGATGAGAAGGATGTAGATTGTGTTTCTAGAAAGAATAGTTTCTTTTGCTGAATGTAACATCCTTTGATTATTTCTTTTCCCTTTCTTAGGGGAAAGTGGTGTCTAAGAATTCCAGTTTACTTCCCTGTTAGATAACACACAATGTATGTTATTTCCAGTGTAGAAGAAGTTGGTTCTTAATTAGAGACACTCACCAAAAAGGGCCTTAAAAACTAGCAGCTAATAGGTATCAGGAGCATTATTTTCATACGCCATCAGCAGGTCGGAAATGGCCATCAGTGTTACTCGGCAGTGCAGGCTTGGAACTCGGGCATGACTAGCAGTCATTTCATTGTCAGACCTATGGAAAGCAGCTCCTTTCTGCCTCCCAGATGCAGTGGACAGTAGGGAGGGCTTAGCACAGAACTCTTCCCAACCTGGTTTTAAAATGACCCTCTTTTGAATGTGAATGCCCAGAAAGTTCCCTTCTAGTTCTAAGGTCATGATTTTCTTGCTGATAATAATGAGCACAGATGGGACTGGTTTGTCCGCTTTTTGTGTTTGTTAAGCAGCCTTGGTCTGACAGGATGTGGGTCTAGGGGCAGGAAGTGGCTTACTCTCAGAGGAAAAAGGAGAGCTATTTAGGATTTGAGATTTCATTACATGTTCTTGAAATTATGGGGTGGCTATTATTCTGGACTCTCTCTGTATATTTTATATATATATATGTATATATATATATATATGTATGTATATGTATATATATATATATATATGTATATATATATATATATATATATGTATATATATATATATATATATATATATATATATATACATATATATATATATATAATGTTACATAATATTTACCCTGGAGTTGGTAAATACAAACTTTTCAAAAGCATAAAACCATTGGCATCTATTTAAAGATACTATTTTAGGAGTAATGTTAAAGAGCCAGAGCTACACAGATATTTTGGTAGCTGATTACCAGAAGTTGAGGGTCTCAGTTTTTGTAACCATTAAAAAAAGGTCATCAGACGAGGATAACCGTATACCTCGTATCGAGTACTCATTTGGAGTCACTCTACCAGTTATACTTCATCACTATTCTGATTGGCTACTTAAAACATACGTTTATATAACATAAAAATGTAACATCATGTAGATACGTGAAAAGTCAGTTACTAGGAAATTCCCAGCCCCCACTTCTGTGTCAATACTCTGCCCTGTTAACGTCTGCTGCACATTAAGAATTTAGCCTTGACATTTTAAGTTTAGCCTAATGGTGGTGCTGGAGGAAGTAGTAAGGAGAACAGTTTAGAAAAGGAGGTGTGAGTGGCATGTAGTGTTACTTTTCATCATTTAAATTACTCAAAAAGTTCCTTAAAGTGCTTCTGGCTTCTCTGGGAAATGAGTTCCTGCTTCCCTGTGGTGTCAGGAGAATCGCAGGGTAGGAGACACGGCCCCTAGGATACTGGACATGGGCTGGATGCTGTATTCGAGGGATAAACCATGTATGGTTCTTGTGCTTAAATAAGCAAAAACCTGGCCGGGCGCGGTGGCTCACACCTGTAATCCCAGCACTTTGGGAGGCCAAGGCGGGTGGATTACGAGGTCAGGAGATCGAGACCATCTAACTTAACATGGTGAAACCCCGTTTCTACTAAAAATACAAAAATTAGCTGGGCGTGGTGGCACATGCCTATAATCCCGGCTACTCGGGAGGCTGAGGCAGGAGAATCGCTTGAACCCGGGAGGTGGAGGTTGCAGTGAGCCGAGATTGCGCCACTGCACTCCAGCCTGGGCAACAAGAGTGAAACTCCGCCTCAAAAAACAAACAAAACACTACCACCAAAAACCTAACTAGCCATAGTCAAGTAGAAGTATACAAATATTCCAGAAGAACTAAACTATAAGGTGTTTGTAAATATTTAGATGTGAATGAGTATAAACAACGCATCAAAAAATCATAAAAATTGATATTTGGTAAATTTTCCTTTCTGCCAGACTTGCTGGCAGTTAAAATTTGAAACAGTGACTGTACCGAAAGCCTTTTTATTCAGGTTAAAAGTTGTACTCCCATTTCCTAAAATAAGGACTGAACTGAGAAACTCTAGCTACAGCTACTTGGTTTTCCATAGAGTTAAGTTGGCTCCTTAGATGCTGAAGTCTGTAGTTATGACCTTGCTTTCATTAGTAATTAGCACCTGGGCAGGTACTAACCAATGAATGCCCTTTACACCTGGCAAGAAGGAATGGGTGGGGAGGCCAGATTGTTTCAATCTAAAGGGCACTACGTTGTGGTGGGTTACGTTTTTTGGTAGACAGACACTGCCTACAGGCAACTAAGTCATTCCATTAACTGTCATTATCAATCCATGTGTGGCCAAGCTTGAATTGTCCTGCTGGTTTAGCTTCCTGATGGGGAACAACAGCTGTCGCAACGCACAGTGTCTGCAGCTCCATCATGGGCCCCAGGACGTCCCACAGCAGCTAACACTGGTCTGTACTCGGAACTCTGCCACCTGGCCAGTGACTTTTGTGCGTCATGTTCCTGGGAATAGTATGACTGTCCATGATTCCTAGGAAAGCTAGAGGAATAACTGAGGATGAGGAGCTAGCACTTTGACCCCTGTGGGGAGTGCTGGTTATAGTGGTTATCAGGGTTGTGACAAGTGGACTCTTGTGAGTTCCAACACTGGATGATTTTATTATTCCTATTACTCAGGCAGTAAAAGACTAGTACATATCCTGGTGTTATATAATTATATGAAAACTTATCAGAATGAGTTTTATAACTAGCGTACCCATGTTTTTGTTATTGTGCTGCAGATAAAATGGCGCACTGAAATGTTACTGAATTATGTGACAATTTTTGTTACAATTCTGTGCACTTTTTACAAGATTTGTGGAGCTTAGATAGATGGCTGGCCTTTGGCATCTGAACATTTTCCTGAGCCCGATAGACAAGCAGATTTTTTTTGTTTGTTTTTGGAGACAGGGTTCTCATGCCTGTAATCCCAGCACCCTGCCTAGTTCAAGACCAGCCTGGCTGGCAACATGGTGAAACCCCGTCTCTACCAAAAATACAAAAGTTAGCTGGGCATGGTGATGCACGCCTGTAATCCCAGATACTCTGGAGACTGAGGCAGGAGAATCGCTTGAACCCGGGAGGTGGAGGCTACAGTGAGCCGAGATTGTGCCACTGCACTCCAGCCTTGACAGAGCGAGACCCTGTCTCAAAAAAAATTAAAAAGACAGGGTTCTGTTACCCAGTGTGGTGGCGCAAGCATGGCTCACTGCAGGCTCGACCTCCTAGGCCCAAGTGATCTTCCCACATTGGCCTTCCAAAGTGCTAGGGTTACAGGAGTGAGCCACTGTGCCTGGCCAAGATTTCTTTGCCTTTGCGCTCATGTTCTTCTTTAACCTTAAAAGAAGAGGTCATATAAAATAATCAGGTATAATTTAAGATACAGAAAGCTTGATAGAAAGGAGTAGCCGTGTTCTACATCTTCATCCATTGCATTTGCAGATATGCCTCAGGATTATTTTATTAGTACAATTTTTTTTTCTTTTTGAGACAGTCTCACTCTGTCACCCAGGCTGGAGTGCAGTGGTGCAATCTCGGCACACTGCAGCCTCCACCTCCCAGGTTCAAGCGATTGTCCTGCCTTATTCCCTGGTGTATCTGGGATTACCAATGTGCACCACCACACCCGGCTAATATTTTGTATTTTTAGTGGAGATGGGGTTTCGCCATGTTGGCCAGGCTGGTCTCGAACTGCTGGTCTCAAGTGATCCACCTGCCTCAGCCTCCCAAAGTGGTAGGATTATAGGCATGAGCCACCGTGCCCAGCCTAGCGTCATGTATTTATACTGTTATTTCCACCTCCTAAAAGTCAACAAGGACACTTAGCTCAAGAAGGCTGATGTTGAGAGAGAACGCTTATCAGAACAGGGATCTCTGAGGAAAAAGGGAGCTTAAATGTGTGTCCCTGGAATTTCTTCTAGCCCTTCCTTTCCTTGGTGACATGGCCACTGCTATGGGCGGGAATTAGAGAAGAGCCCTGACCAGTGGTGTTGATGTCTTTGCCAAGTATACTGTCAGGTCAGTGTCATAAATTGATGATATATATAGAGAGACTTCATTTAATAGAAAATAATATTTTAAGGACCACCTTGCTATTTTACTTCTCTAATAATGTTTTGAATATTTTGATAAATACCTTTAGCAACATAGTGGTTCTCATCTCAGCCCTCTCTGTCCTTGAAAGAATGTTATTTATAACAGGGTGGTTTCTGGACTGCCCTTCTGGAGTAAAACTTGGGCATTCTAACCATATGCTTGCTGGAAACCATAATAATGTAAAAAGTCGTCATTGGGTTTTCAATTGCAATTACATTGATATAATTTTGTATATAAAACAGTCTGTTACTGGGAGCAGCATTGTTCATGTAAGAAAGATGTTCGCTTCATATAATACATGGAAACAAAGTTATATTTTCAATGTTAGCCATTACTGTGACACTCCAAAAAAGGCTGGTGATGGGGAGAAAGAAGAGCTTTAAAAAAACCTACAGACAATTCACTTGCCTCTCGGGCTTTTCTGCTTTGCCTGCCTTGACCGAATTAGAGTATCTGCATTTCTGCACTAAGCTGGTTGAGGTTTGCTAAGTCAATGGTAATGTTTTACAGAGCTTGGCTGTTAGCCAGCATTTGTGGAAAACGACCAATGTCTGTCATAGCTAGTGCTATAATTTATTCAGTTGGCATATTGTTTATGGAGACAGTGAGATAAGGGGATTAGGATCCAGAGAGACTATTAAAATATGTGAGTCCATCTGTTGTGATCTGAGGTTTCATTAGAGAAAACCTGTCTGCTAGTACAACAAATGGAGACTTAGTAAGGATGTTTTTATATAAAGGATTATAAATCAGCAGAGGTAAATACATTAATCTTGGCCAAACAGGTCATGTCCTTTTGCGTTTTCCTGATGGCAGGTTCTGCCCCCTGCCGCCCGGGCACTGTTGGTCATAGCGTGACCTTGGCATCAGCTGTGAGCCGGTAAACATGGAAATGTAGGCCCCTCCCAACCTGAGTCAGACCCTTAGCCTGGGGTCCAGGAAACTGTTTTAACAAGCCCCTGGGTGATTTTTTTTCACATGTTCAAGTTTGAGCGCCTCGAGGGCCTGTGAATGGCTGCATATAAGGTACAGCTGGCCATATGTCTTAAATGACTTCAAAGGGGTGTGAGCCAGGCCTCTTCCCACACCAGACTTCATGAACCATGCCTGGTATTGTCATGTTTTTGTGAGCAGCCGTGAATAGGGCTGGGGGAGAGAGATGTTCAGCCAAGAAAGTCTAAAATAGAAAGGGAATGTTCAGTTATAACAAAACAAATTTTTGTAATTAGAGTGCTGGGTTGTGCTCAGCATCATTGGAGTTAAATGTGGAGCAGTGGCTTACACTTGTAATCCCAGCACTTTGAGAAACTGAGGTGGGCGGATCCCTTGAGGTCAGGAGTTCGAGGCCACCCTGGGCAACATGGTGAAACTCCATCTCTACAAAAAATAGAAAAATTAGCCGGCTGTGGTGGCAGGTGCCTGTGGTCCCAGCTAAGGAGGCTAAGGTGGGAGAATCTCTTGAACCCTGGAGGCAGAGGTTGCAGTGAGCTGAGATCACGCCACTGCACTCCAGCCTGGGCAACAGAGCGAGAGACCCTTTCTCAAAAAAAAAAAAAAAAAAAAAAAAAGCGGAGCAGCAAACTAAGTCCCTTTTCCATCGAGGGAGGTCTCTGAAGCAGAGCTGAGCCAGCCTCTCAGCTCTGCCCTGGTGGGGCACCCCATAGCGCCCAGAAGCAGTGAGGGCTAAGGCGGCAGAGTGCAGCATGGCCATGCATGATTGGAGCGCCGCTACTGTGTTGGTGTCAGTTTGGCAGCCAGCAACTTCTAAGAACATAGAATATTTTCATTTAGAACTTAAAAACAGTAAACCCAAAAAGTTTAGTTTTTAAAAATTCATTTTGTTTCTCCCTAAAGATTTTTATTCTTTTGAAAATGACCACAGTCTAGTTTGAATGCCATTGTTTTTCAGCTGTTTCTTATTTGCAATTGCTAAAAGCAACAAGGAGCAAGTTAAATGTCCATCACCTGAATGGGTAGACAGAAGTGACAGCCACACAATGGAATATTCCTGGGCAGTAAAAAAAGAATGAAGTGCTGGTACATGCTACAACATGAATAACCCTTTTAAACATTATGCTAAGTCATGGGATTCAGTCATGAAAGACTGCATATTACAAAATTCTGTCTCTCTGAAATGTCCAGAATAGGCCATTCCTTAGAGACAGAAAGTAGATTGGTGGTTTCCAGGGGCTGAGGGATCAGGAGGAATGCAGAGTGACTGCCAGTGGCCATGGAGTTTCTTTTTGGGCTGACAAACTATTCCAAAACTAGATAGCAGTGTCAGTTGCATAACTCTGAATATACTAAAAACCACTGAATTATACATTTTCCATGGGTAAATTTTATGGTAAGTTACATTTCAATAGCTGCTATTTAAAGTACATAGTGACTCAACATGAAAGGAAAAATATACAGTTTTGTCTCTATAATTACCCAATTAAGTGAACCAAAATAGCTGCAAAGTTTTTAATTCATTTATCATTGGTTGTAAGAATTTTCCCTATCATACTCCCATTTGTGGGAGAAAATTTACTGTATCTACTTTCTATCAGAGCATTTCTAAGTATTTGAAAGGTCTTATCCAAATATTTGAAAGCTGTTAAAAGTTGCTGAAGTGGCACCTTCGGAAGAAGGCTGGAATGTTGGAAAACAGCGTTGACATTTTAAATGATATGGAAGGTCAAGCTCGCAATGTAATCTTGGTGGTGGCTGGATGGCTCTACTCAGACTGGTTTTTGAGTAAATGGCAGGTGTGATAATATAGGGATTAATCTGTTAACCACTGAATCCACTGCCTGAAATTCAGACATTCAAATGCTCCCATTTGAATTTCCCTTTCTTATTTTACATGGTTTTCCTGATTTTTGAGTACATAAAAAAATTATTGCAAACTTTTTTCCTGCAGTGTTCTGGCCACTGAAATTAAATCTGGTTCTTTTGTCTAAGACTCAAGGGTTGCTCTCCTGTAATGTTTGTGGAGGAACTGATCTTGGACTTTTCCCTCCTGTCTTGGGCTTTTATTACAGTTTGAATTTATGCTGTAAAAAGTGTGATTGTAGAGGTAACCTATAAGTTTAAAATATTCAGAGGAAATGGATGCTTCCCAAAGGAAAAATTGCATACCTATATTTATTTACCAAAATGAGGAAAATACCTGGGAAATAATTTGGCCAAATATTCAGCAATTATATTCATAGATTAGAAGCAAAATACAAAATTTGATTGTCAACTTGGTACCTTTTTCATTCCTTACACTCTTAGAAGGCATTTTAAGATGCCATTTTGATAAAATTAAACTGGGAAGACTCAGAAATCATGTTTTCCCAACTATATTCTGAAAAATCCTAGTTCCCTGGGATGCTCCGTGGAAATAACCTGTGGGCAGAACAATCTGTGAAGTGGAGACTGTGGCCCCGTCTTGGACTGCCACTGTTGGCATCAACATGGCAGACAGGCAACAGCCTTTCAGCTAAAGAAGGAAGAAACAGAAAACCCCACCTTAACCACTGCAGAGTTACGTGACCTCCAAACACTGCCCCCACAGCATATCCCCATTTTTGTCCCTTTCCCTTTCAAAGCCAAATAATTTCAAAGAGGACTACATAGCTGCTGGCTTGGGATGGTGTCAAAAGCCAGGCAAGATGATTTTAAGTCATAGAATGATCGAGCTGGAAGATGCTCACAGATTAAATGGTCTCCAGCCACTCAATATCAGCAGCAAGGGAGAGGAACAGGGTTGGCCTGAGTGAGGCTGGGGCCACCCCTGCCGCCAGGCCTGTGTGCCAGGCTCAGGTGCTCCAGGGAATGAGCAAAGAGGATGTTGGGTTTATTTTGTTTTAATAAGGCGAATTGTTACTGAGTTTATTTAAAAATAAAGCAGCTTGGGGTTTAACACCTTGCATGTCGGTTGCATTGGAGTGGTAACACCTGTGCTGTCGTGTGTCTGCCTGGAGGGGTACTTTCCTTCTTGGGAAAGTGAACACAGGTGTGTTGTCCCTTCTCCGTGAAAACACTCTACTTGCTGGCCTTGAATAGCATTCTAGTGGGTTACTTTTCTCCTAGTGGTCAGAGAGTATTTATTGGACCTCTGGTTCCATTGGCATGTGTCCCCTAAGGAGGGAGACCCTTCAGGGGGTACTTACACCTCTACTGTCCGATGGCACTGGCTGTGTCACACCTGGCCTGTGGGCTTTGAACCTAGCATTTCAGAGTGGGAAAAGGCCTCAAGCCATCTAGTCCAAACTCTACCTGCAGATCAGGTAGAGGCCCAGTGGCAGGAAGTCATCAGCTAGGGGTCCTCAGATTACAGAGCTAGCTCTCAAACCCAGGCCCTCTGTCTCCCGTCTCTTGCCTTCCAGTGATTCCCAAATTTGGCCTCCTCAAAATCACTTGTGGAAGTGACAGCTTCCTGGGCTGCGGGTGTTTGAAAAGCTTCTGTGGGGATTCTGATGGTGAGGCTGATGTGGGAAGCACTGTGGTGTGTGATCACTGAGGCACACCCATCTTCATTAATGTGTAAGCCACTCGGGGATAGGAAGGGCTAATGCCTCTCTGTACTCACAGTGCCCATCGAGGTGCCTGGCACACCTTGCAGTAGTTAATTGGTATTTGTGGATCGAATGAACATGTTAGGTGCCCACTAGCAGGGGTTGGTCCTGTAGTCTGTGGCCATGGAACATTAGAAGAATAAAGCTATTGTGGTTCATCCTGTAGTATAGTAAGTTCGAGCTGAGCTAACCTGTAATAACACAAATACAATTTTTTTTTTTACGTTTTTAAAAGTTAGAGATGGGTTCTTGCTATGTTGCCCAGGGTAGTCTCAAACTCCTCGCCTTGAGATCCTCCTGCCTTGGCTCCCCAAAGTCCTGCGATTACAGGCCTGAGCCATTATATTTGGCCAACAAATAGAATTATTTATTTATTTATTTATTTATTTTTTGCGATGGAGTCTCACCCTGTCACCTAGGCTGGAGTGCAGTGGCGTGATCTTGGCTCATTGCAACCTCCGCCTCCCAGGTTCAAGCGATTCTCTCTCCTCAGCCTCCTGAGTAGCTGGGATTACAGGTGTGTGCCACCACATTTGGCTAATTTTTATATTTTTAGTAGAGATGGGGTTTTACCATGTTGGCCAGCGCTGGTCTTGAACTCCTGACATCAAGTGATCTGCCTGCCTTGGCCCCCCAGAGTGCTGTGATTACAGGTGTGAGCCACTGCGCCTGGCCTAGACTTTTTTAAAGAGTAGATTATTAAGCAAAGGGAGAGTATAAACAGTATTGGTTTTTCATTAGCTTCATCTGTACCGTCAACCACATGGTTCTTTTTGTCTTGGTAGTGGTACAGGAGTAAAGTTAAACTTAAATCACCACCAACACCCCCAAGCTAAGCATAACTTTTAAAAGTTTTTAATATTTTGGCAAGCCTGGGAGAAATATTGCCCTTTTTTGGGTAGATCTTGGATGACTAACTGCTTACTATACACACACCTGTACTACACGTGATTGCGTTGCCTTCACTGAACACCGTTTTTGATAACTGTGTAATCTGAGGGGAATTACTAAGACAATAAAAACTGCAGACCACGCGCTCTTTTTCTCCAGTCTGCACATAGTTTGGATATGTGTGGTGGTGTGTTTAAGCCCATGGACTTGAGTTTTTTATGGGACAATCCTTGTGTGTATCAGAATCATACAGTCCCAGTACCATCTTATTCCTCTGGCATTATTGAAGATACAAGAACCAGTTGGCATTCAAATATGTTGAGTTCACTAAAAACAGTTGCTGATGAGGGAAACCTAACACCCTGATAATAAAATGGAAAGTTGGGATTTAGATGTGTTTTCTCAATTGCCAAAGCCTGGTGGTGGTGGTGCTGGTGCTGGTGCTGGTGGTAGTGCTGGTGGTGGTTGTGGTGGTTTTGAGTCTTCGCTGTATCACCCAGGCTGGAGTGCAGTGGCGCGATCTTGCTCACTGCAAGCTCCGCCTCCCAGGTTCAAGCAATTCTCCTGCCTCAGCCTCCCAAGAAGCTGGGACTATGTATGGGCACGTGGTACCACGCCCGGCTAATTTTTGTATTTTTAGTAGAGACGGGGCTTCACTGTGTTGGCCAGGCCGGTCTCGAACGCCTGACCTCTAGTGAGCCACCCACCTTGGCCTCCCAAAGTGCTGGGATTACAGGCGTGAACCACTGCATGTGGCCCCAAAGTCTGTTTTTTTTCCCCAAGCCCTTGGATAAGTAGACAAAGTATGTATGTAAATGGTCCTGTCATCTCAGTGAATGTCTCATTTTAAATTTTGGTGAAAGCTTATGCTGTATTGTAGCACATTATTTTATCTATAACATTGAAAATAATTGGCCTTTCTAAACATGGAACTGTTTATCATGCAGTAGGGTAAGGCAGTGCCATGCTGTGGTACTTAATCTGGGGAGGATCTCCTCCCTTTTCCCCATAGAGCATTTGGAAATGTGTGTGTGGATGGGGTTGCTTTTAGATGTTCCAGTGACTGGGGACACTCAGTCATTGGATGGCTTAAGGATGCTAAACGTTCCTGAGTGCTTGGGATAGTCTTGCAGAATGAATACTTGTGCTGTCCAGAATGACAAGAGCACCCCCAGTGGGAAACACTAGTAGGGTAATGACTAATCAAGTAACAGACATGCCCTTTAACTTAAAGCAGCTCATTAACATAGTATTCATTTACCTGTTTAGATTTTGAGTATCTTCTCTTCAATCTCTATGTAAAGATACAGATTGTAGAGCCTGCCCTATGTATGAATATATATATATATTAAAACTGTGATTCTAAGAAGGGGTTCTTAAGGTTCTGGTGTGTCCCCAAATCAGAACTGGAAATTATTCCTTTTAACAGGGCCAATGGATTCCTATTGCTGGTCCTAGTTTTATTACTGCAGTGCCAGAACAACTCCCTGATCATCATTTTTATTTTTTTAAAAGAGGATCTCACTCTTTCATTCAGGCTGGAGTGCAGTGGCTCGATCATAGCTCACTGCACTCCAGCCTGAATGATTTTTTGTAGAGAGATGGGGTCTTGACTTGTTGCCCAGGCTGGTCTCAAATTCCTGGACTCAAGTGATCTGCCTGCCTTGGTTTCCCACAGTGCTGGGATTACAGGCATGAGCCAATGGGCCTGGCCTCCCTGATCTTTAGACTTGCAATAATTGTTTGAGGTTGCGTACCATAGGGAATGATTGCCCATGGGTGTTGGAGCATAGGTAAAAAATTTTGTGGAATGATCGGACCAGCTAAGAGTTGGCATTGTGTTGGAGCTGCTGGTGCTCAGATGAAGTCCTTTTGTTAGGAGGTGTAGATTTGTTGACTCATGCAGAACTTCTCAGTAGCTTACTTTTTTTTTTTTTTGAGATGGAGTCTTGCCCTGTTGCCCAGGCTGGAGTGCAGTGGCCCGATCTTGGCTCACTGCAAGCTCCACCTCCCGGGTTGATGCCATTCTCCTGCCTCAGCCTCCCGAGTAGCTGTGACTACAGGCGCCCGCACACCTGGATAATCTTTTCTATTTTTAGTAGAGATGGGGTTTCATCGTGTTAGCCAGGATGATCTCCATCTCCTGACCTCGTGATCTGCCCTCCTCGGCCTCCCAAAGTGCTGGGATTACGTGAGCCACTGTGCCCAGCCAATTTTTAAGTTCACTTTCTACACGCTACTGGGTTGTTAAAACCAACCTCAGTAAAAGTATCCGTTTTACAAGTTACTTGCTTTTTCAGGCCAGGCACAGTCAGGAGTTTGAGACCAGCCTGGCCAACATGGTGAAACCCTGTCTCTACTAAAATTACAAAATTTAGCTGGGTGTAGTGGCTGGCATCTGTAATCCCAGCTGCTTGGGAGGCCGAGGCAGGAGAATCGTTTGAACCCAGGAGGCAGAGGTTGCAGTGCTGAGATGATGCCACTGCACTCCAACCTGGGCGACAGAGGAGACTCCATCTCAAAAAAAGAAAACAAGTTAATTGCTTTTTAAAAGGGTTGTGTGAACTTTCAGTCAGATATGAAACTGTTTCAGAACCAAAAATAAGTTATTCTAAATTCCTGCTAGTCAGTTTGCAAAATGCTTAATATCTTTTTAATGTTAATTATTAGCTTTGGTTTCAGGAGATGTCATTTTCACACTGTCTTCAAACTTAGAAGAGACTCAGGTTTAGAATTTGGAGTCTGGGCCGGGCGCGGTGGCTCACGCCTGTAATCCCAGCACTTTGGGAGGCCGAGGCAGGCAGATGACAAGATCAGGAGATTGAGACCATCCTGGCTAACACGGTGAAACCCTGTCTCTACTAAAAATACAAAAAATTAGCTGGGTGTTGTGGCGGGCACCTGTAGTCCCAGCTACTCGGGAGGCTAAGGCAGGAGAATGGCAGGAACCTGGGAGGCGGAGCTTGCAGTGAGCCAAGATCACACCACTGCACTCCAGCCTGGGCGACAGAGAAAGACTCTGTCTCAAAAAAAAAAAAAAAAAAAATGGAGTCTGAAATCTCGTGTGCATGGACTCTGGTCATTTGTCTTTGTCCTAACCAGACAGTGGCCTTCAGTTCTAATTGTACTTGGGGTTCCCACTTCTGAACCAGTAGATAGCAGAGAAAGAAAGGTGGCATATCCAGGGTTCTGCATTTGTGAGCAAACGCCCCTCCACTTTAGTTTTAGTGTGTTATGTCATTGTTGGCTTCTGTGTATGTAGCTGGAGCTGCATTTGTTATTGAGATATTTGACTTGGGGCTGGTTTTCCCATCTCTAATACATGCCCTTGGAACCATAATTGAGAGAAATGCGTGCTTTTATTTTATGCTTCATAACAGCCATTTTGTGATTTTAAAAAAATTACCAGCAGGAAATGAAAGAAAAGTAGGTTTTTATATTTTAGTATGATTAAAGACTTTAAAACATGTCTCGTTGCCTCCTAGTAAACTTGAGTTCTTTAACTTCTGGACTTGGGGATTGTGGAGAAAACTTTTGAAACAAGATCTGGAAAACGATACTTCTGTACTTGTTGTACCAGTCGGGGAGCCTTTAAGGGCATATTGGATGCATGTTAGAGGATCTCTCAGTCATAGTCTTAAATGTTATTGGGACGGGGTGGGAGCGGCTGGGGAGACTAATTATGTTCCTGAAGTAGGAAGTGACATTTGGTGAGTGCTTAATATTTCTGGTTCCCTGGCTGGATAACGAAACCTCTGTCGCCATATACTGGCACAGGTAATACGTCCTTATTACATTTACACCTGTGTTAGGAAGAATCCGGGATAGGTATCTCTCCAGCTTCTGTATATTTCACTTGAAAAATGGTGAGAAGCAAGCATTTCTTAATATTAAGCATTATAGTTGCTATGTGGCTCTGCTGTTTTCTTTGGGACAGTGACATAAAGTAGCCAGATTTGAGTGTTTTTCATACACTTTAGTAAATCTGGGTTTTCTCAAGTGATAAATTTGAAAACTGCCTTGATGTAAGTGGGTTGTTTTGTTGTTGTGGTGGTGGGTTTTTTTTGTTTGTTTGTTTTGAGATGGAGTCTTGCTCCGGAGCCGAGGCTGGAATGCAGTGGCACAATCTTGGCTCACTGCAACCTCCGCCTCCTGGGTTCAAGCGATTCTCCTGCCTCAGCCTCCCAAGTAGCTGGGACTACAGGCGTGCGCCACTATGCCCAGCTAATTTTGTATTTTTAATAGAGATAGGGCTTCACCATGTTAGCCAGGCTGGTCTTGAACTCCTGACCTCAAGTGGTCCACCTGCCTCGGCCTCCCGAAGTGCTGGGATTACAGGTGTGTGAGCCAATGCGCCCGACAGTGTTTTGTTTTTTTAAAACAACTACATGGCAACATTAGAAATATTTTAAGGCCCTCCCATCTCCACCTCCTCAATTCTGTGTCTCACCATCCTCATACTATTTCCATTTTTACATTTTATTTTCATGTCTTGTCTAAACAGAGTTCACATTTGCATTGAGTGTTGCTTGTCGTATTTTTTATTTCAGAAGCAATTTGCCCAGTTTCTACTATTTTCGTAATTATAATTTAATATCACTACATAATCCATTTTTGATGTGTCTTTGGACATTTCACCATTTCTCTCTCACTATGGTTTCTAAGGTTGCTTCAAACCTTCTGATTCAAAGCTCTTTCTCTCTTCCCTTCTCTGACTTCCTTGGTGCCTTGGGAGCCCTCCTGCCTCCCTTGGCTGTCGTAAGGCTCATATGAGATGGTGCATGGAAAAATAGGTTAAAGTATTGTTTTAACAAAAAAGAAAAAAACTGCTTAGGTTGGGCAGGGTGGCCCATGCCTATAATCTCAGCACTATGGGAGGCTGAGATGGGAGGCTTGCTTGAGCCTAGGAGCTCAAGACCAGCCTAGGCAACATAGTGAGACCCCGTCTCTACAAAAAGTAAAAAACAAAACGAGCTAGGCATGGTGGCACCTATAGTGCCAGCTACTCAAGAGGCTGAGGTGGGAGGCGTTCGTGTGAGCCTGGGAGATCATGACTAGTGAGCTGTGATCGTGCCACTGCACTCCAGCTTGGGTGACAGAGCAAGAGCCTGTCTCAAAGAAAAGAGAAAAACTGCTTAGACCTAAGTGTCAGTGTGCTTTATTAAAGCAAAGAAGCTGCGTTTGGTTTGCACTGTGTGCCTCCTGAGACATCCCCAGCCATCTGCAGTCAGGAGTGGTGTGTGGCTTCCTGACTAGCACAGGAACTGATGTCAGGCATATGCCGTCGCCACACTGAGGAGCAGCTTATGTAGAAGGTGCAGGAGGTTATTAGAAGAAAAGAATACTCAGTTAAGCGTAATTTGTTTCATTCTGTTTTTCAGATCAATGTCCGAGTTACCACCATGGATGCAGAGCTGGAGTTTGCAATCCAGCCAAATACAACTGGAAAACAGCTTTTTGATCAGGTTGGTCTCTGAACTTGAGAGTTAACTCCACCTACAAAAAAAAACTGTTTTGCAACATTTCAGTTATTTTGTTTGCGAAGCATATTACCTTGTTTTACTCACTTGAGGTAATAGATGAGAAGGATCTTTTAAAAGGTGAAAGTATTTCATGATAGCATTATAAAATGCATTAACAGACAAGTATATCATGCCTAGGAAGTGAGGTGTATGAAAGCACACAGCTGTCTGTTGTATAAAGTCAGGCGGATTCAGTGTGTTACCAGGCATGGAAGCAAAGGACTGAAAAGAGAGTTATTGTGCTTGTCATTGTAAGGAGGTGCTGGCCTGTGTGTCTCTCACCCTGTATTAGAGACGCGGCTTCCTACCCGCAGCTGCCTCCACCTCCAGAGTAGAACCCCTCTCACTGCGTGGATGAGTGAGCCTTAGTTGTCTCAGTTGCTGCAGCTTCTCATTTCTAAGTGATCGTACCTGAACATCTATGAAAGGAAGAAATGAAGATTTAGAGAAATAATTCACTTTTTAAAATTGGAAGATTTTTTTAAATCAAGTATTTATTAGTGATATTACTACTTACTTATTAAATACTTTTTTCCCCAATAACAGCTGCTTCAAATACAGCGTTGTTTTTTTTTTTTTTCTTTGAGACTGAATCTCACTCTGTTGCCCCGGCTGGAGTGCAATGGTGCAATCTCAGCTCACTGCAACCTCTGTCTCACAGGTTCAAGCAATTCTCCTGCATCAGCTCCCCGAATAGTTGGGATTACAGGCACATGCTACCACGCCCTGCTAATTTTTGTATTTTTAATAGAGACAGGGTTTCGCCATGTTTGCCAGGCTAGTCTCGAACTCCTGAACTCAAGTGATCCACCCGTCTTGGCCTCCCAAAGTGCTGGGATTACAAGTGTGAGCCACCACGCTCAGCTTGCAGCCTTCCCCCATCCCTTTTGGGTGAGTGGGAAGAGGGGGAAGAACAGGTCAGTCCTGGGCATTTAATAAACAGACTTCTAGAGCTTTAGGGAGCCTCTGGCCTCCCTGCACCCTTCAGATGAAGAAACAGGCCCAGATCAGGAGTTAATTTGGAATTTTAGGATTTACTTTAAGCAAATGCTCTGTATACCTGAGTTGTCATTTCTAATGTATTCAACCCTCTTTGGCATTAAATATGATAGAAGCCATGTATTTGAAGGATGGTAGCATTTTTTAAAGTTTAACATTATATATCATGGGATTTTAAATTAGACATCTATGTATATGTAAATAGTCGAACTTGTCTGGGACTCGGTTTAGATGATGTTCAACAAATGTCCACAGCAAGTTCGACTATCACTGCTTTTCTGTTTACAAGACAGTCGTGAGACTAAGCAGCTCAGGACTCCTGTAATGCACAACAGAGGCTTGAAAATGTGAAATCTTTGCTGTGACCTAGGGTCGGGATTCTACCTTTGCTGTATCAGAATGTCCCATTTCTGGAGGTCTATAAGATGCAGGTTCCTCTGGGCACCCCTGTGCATTGACACCCTTCCGTCCCAGAAGTCTGCCTTGCCTGTTTTCCTGCCTTTCCTAGGATTTCTTTGTCCCTGTTCCTAGTAAGTCAGACCCCTGGGCCAGCTGGCTGAGAGGCAGAGGCAGGCAGCCAGAGGAGGCTCAGGTGTGGCACTGGATGCTTTAGTCTTCTGCATGAGCACACCTGACCGGCAGCGATGCACCCACCGCACTGTTCCCTGGGGGGCTGTGGGCTCCCATGGTTCTGTGTGTGCTGGCCATAACCCGCCCTGCTGAGTTTCATGCAGGAGAGCATCCTGGAGTACAAAGGAGTAGGAGTGAGATTTTCTAAGATTTGAAGGTAGAACCCTGAATCTGCTCAAATTTATATTAAAAATAAGTCGTTCATGGCTTTGAGATAATAGCCTCAGTTAGTAACAAGTTATTTGAGTGCAAAAAAAGATGTTGCCCAGTGGTTGGACTGAGCAGATGTCCTGGTTTCCTGGGGACTCTGCTAGACCATGTGATGAACGACAGCCAAAAGCTGTTGCCCTTTTGAGTGAGTTTCTCATGAGTGTTGAGCCTCTCTCTCTCTCACGCAGGTGGTAAAGACTATCGGCCTCCGGGAAGTGTGGTACTTTGGCCTCCACTATGTGGATAATAAAGGATTTCCTACCTGGCTGAAGCTGGATAAGAAGGCAAGTCAGGATTAACTATTTACAGGCTGTGGATTGGGTGTTGGTCTGCTTCATCGATAAGGAAACTGGAGCAACTCACCCTGTCTTTTGTTTTCTGTTCCTTTTTGTTTGTGTAAAAGTTTTTACAGACAAAAAGGTTGCAGGTTTCCAGTAAATGGAGATATCGATTGGAAATCAGATCTGGCATTTCTCCATAGTGCTCACTCATTGGAGCATATGATGGTTAATTGCATAGCTTTTAGTTGACCTTAGTTTTTTCAATGAGATTGTTAATCTTATAAACTGTGAATCATCCACCATCTTGTAAGAACCTGTTATTGCTTTGTTTGAACCTGTGACAGATTATCTTCCAACTTTAAAGAGTGGATAATTCCATTAACCAACCAAAAAGAAAAGTAGTAAGATAAACATTTTCTTCAAACTCTGAAAATTATCCTTTTTTTTTTTTTTGAAACCCCCACTGTCCTCCCAAGTCACAGCAACAAGTTAAAAAGATGATGGGAGGTGGGGAAGAGTGGAGGAGCAGGAGGAATTCTTAACAGTAAGTTTCGGGGTCCAGGGCCCGATTGGCATGTGGCCCCATTCCAGGTCACTGGGGTCATTTCCAAATTTGAGTTCTCCAGGATTGATAGCATCATCCCATGAGGACTGGGGCTTAGTGAGGCAGTAGCTTTGATTTCCAGCTGAGCACAAGAGTGTGATAGTACTTGTTTGTTTTTTGTTGTTGTTGTTTTGAGATGGAGTCTTGCTCTGTCGCCCAGGCTGGGGTGCAGTGGCACGATCTTGGCTCACTGCAACCTCCACCTCCTGGGTTCAAGTGATTCTCCTGCCTCAGCCTCCCAAGTAGCTGGGACTACAGCTGCATGCCATCATGCCCGGCTAATTTTTTTGTATTTTTAGTAGAGATGGGGTTTCACCATGTTGGTCAGGCTAGTCTCGAACTCCTGACCTCGTGGTCCGCCCACCTCAGCCTCCCAAAGTGCTGGGATTACAGTCGTGAGCCACCATGCCTGGCCTGTTTTTTTGTTTTTGTTTGTTTGTTGTTGTTTTTTAAGAAGAGACAGGGTCTTGCTCTGTCACCCAGGCTGGAGTGCAGTGGCGCCATCATAGCTCACTGCAGTCTCGAACTCCTGAGCTCCAGGGTTCCTCCTGCTCAGCTTCTTGAGTAACTGGGACTATAAGCATGCATCACCATCCCCAGCTAACTTTTTTTTAAAAAATGTTGTAGAGATGGGATCTCTTCTACGTTGCCCAGGCTGGTCTTAAACTCCTGGGCTCAAGTGATCCTCCTGCCTTGGCCTCCCAAAGCACTGGGATTATAGGCATGAGCCACCATGTCTGGCCTGTGGTAGCACTTTTGACTAACCTTTTTTTGTCTGGAGTGCTAAAAAGATGACTTTAAGAATAAATATCTCCTGAAAACTGGCTTGAGGGCCCCATTGAGTCTTGGTTAGAAGCCTGTGTTGGGGACAGTGGGCCTTCGTCTTCCGGATTTGTGTGGAGAGTGTGGCTTGTTTCGTGCAGGTGTCTGCCCAGGAGGTCAGGAAGGAGAATCCCCTCCAGTTCAAGTTCCGGGCCAAGTTCTACCCTGAAGATGTGGCTGAGGAGCTCATCCAGGACATCACCCAGAAACTTTTCTTCCTCCAAGTGAAGGAAGGAATCCTTAGCGATGAGATCTACTGCCCCCCTGAGACTGCCGTGCTCTTGGGGTCCTACGCTGTGCAGGCCAAGTTTGGGGACTACAACAAAGAAGTGCACAAGTCTGGGTACCTCAGCTCTGAGCGGCTGATCCCTCAAAGGTGAGCACAGGATGACCCGGCCTGGGCAGGAGCAGTCATGCCGTCCTCGGCAGGGAGAAGTGATTGCCTTAGAAGCACAGTTTAAAAACACAAGGACTTCGCCAGTGTCAAGTGCTCCTTCATGCTAGTCATTAAGTCACTGACCAGCGACCTGAAACATAGCCAGGGAAGGCGAGCTGCCATTCCTCATGGAAACTAAAGCGTGGCCGTGTCCTGTGGGACATGGCATAGCAAACTTCTCGACCTGACTGCTCAGCTCCTCCTGGGGTATGATAGGTTGCCCCTGTGAAATCTGTTTTTATTTAGTAATGGTCACAAAAATTACCCCATTTGGAAGAAGAGGCCACTTAAAATACCTCTTAGTTTTTCCAGCAGAACTGAGTTCTTGTTCAAAATGCTAAGTCTTCCAGATTAACTGTCATAAATAGAAATGCTGCACATCAGGAAATAGAAACCAAAGCTCTTTGGGATTGATTGATTTGAATGGAAAGTAAGGGTTTGAATGTGGGTGGTAAGTGGGCCTCCTTCCTTGCCTGTCACATTCCTTAAGGATGACAGTGCTGTTTCCTTTTGCATTCCAGAGTGATGGACCAGCACAAACTTACCAGGGACCAGTGGGAGGACCGGATCCAGGTGTGGCATGCGGAACACCGTGGGATGCTCAAGTGAGTGCTGTGCCCTGCTGTTGGGATCTTGCCATCTCCGTGCGCTCCAGCATGTCTTTTCCTGTGACTCTAGTTAGTGCTTTAAAGGGCTCTGTGTCAGGCCTTGTGAAGACCTTGAGGGAACCGAGTTAAAAGTGGGGTTTTCTTAGGGAAGAGGTTTTTTTTAAACAAAGCCAGGTGTCTTGCCTGGGGAAAGAAGCAGTTTAGCTCAAGCCTTCAGGTTCTAAAAGCTTACACCCTCCCTTTGTAGAAAGTGTTGTGTCTAAACTTCATCTTAGTCAGAGGGGCATTGTTCACCTGCAATCAGCATTATTCTGTCAAAGAGATGCTGGTTTGCTCATTATATGAAGGTACTTGTCTTACAAAGTGTATATAAATGAAAAAGGATCCCAAGTGAGAAATGCTGATGTCAGAGAACCTGGACGTGGGGCTGTTAATGTAAGACATGGCCGAGCCACCTGATTCTGGGTGTTCTCGTCCTAGAGCCTTGTCTCTGGCCTAGTCTTGCGAGTCTGCATTATTTCAGCCTCTGAAGTTTGTTTGAGGTTTGAGCCTCAGATTTTGTGCTTCAGGGTTTCCTGTCTGGCCCAAACATCCTTTATGGAAGGAAAACAACTCAAAGCCTATGAGGAGGGTTGTGGGAAGACATGTGTGGGCAAGAGAAAAAGGAGGATTGTGCTGAGTGATAAAACTTAAAAACCTGTTAGAGAAACCAGTGTGAATCAGTTCTTCTTCAAAGTGTGGGGTTTGGTGGTGAGGCTCCAGGGCAGCACGGACCCCACCCCAGGCATAGCTTCTGGGCTGTATGGGTCCCCTCCTCACCGGTCGGCTGCCCGGCCCCTGCCTGCCTGCACGCAGCACACAGCATTGAGCCCATCCTACACAAGGCGCCTTAATTTAAAAATACTGGAAAGGTTTTACTGTTCTAGATATTGAGTGCTACCAGTGACTCTGCCTGTTTCACTCTCCCCAATTAGAGATAATGCTATGTTGGAATACCTGAAGATTGCTCAGGACCTGGAAATGTATGGAATCAACTATTTCGAGATAAAAAACAAGAAAGGAACAGACCTTTGGCTTGGAGTTGATGCCCTTGGACTGAATATTTATGAGAAAGATGATAAGTGAGTTGAAGTTCACAGTTATCTTCAGTAGGTAGGGTGGTGGGCCTGGAAACAATGGCAAAATGGCAAATTTGTGGGTTATTTTTGAAGTATTTATTTAGCAACTTACTATCCCAAAGTAGGAAACTTTTTAAAGGGCTTTTGGACTGCTGTGGCCCTCTCAAAGGGTGGTCCAGAGGTGTGGGTTATCCTCTCTCATGGTGGGCGGGGCCGATAGTGGGCTCAGTCCTGGTAGAGGAAGGCAGAATAGAGCAGAGGCTGCCTCTCCTCCCCGCTGCCTCTGAGATTCCACCCCAGCTGCCTGCAGGTACCAGCACATCCATCCATAGCTACTTCGCAGGCAGCCCAGCCAGTGCTCGACTCCTGGCTCGAGGTTTGTGCTAATCCAACCAAGAATATTGATGGTGTGATGAGAGACTTGAAAAGCTGTAAACAATAGCCTGTACGTGTAGACACTTGAGCTAAATGCTGGGAGTCTGCAGGAGATATCTTAATTGCCTCGCATTAGTTACGTTGTTTGTTGAGTGAGGGCCTGTAAGCAAGCTGGGTAGAGCAGCAGAGCCAGGCCTCTCCACAGGGACAGGCAGTTCCGCTTTCACATACAGGGCATTTGCCTTCTTTCTGCTGAGGATAAACAGGGAAAGTCATCCTAGTTCATGAGGGCAAGTTTCCCATGGTGAGTCTGCGACATCAGCATAATCCTAGATTCTGGATTGATCTGATCAGAAGCTACCTGAATTTAAGAGGCAGAAGGAAACTACCTCTGGAAAGAGAAGGGAGAGGCTCCTGACTGCCTCCTGACTACCGTCTCTGCCCTGATTGTCCACAGTCAGCCTGATTGCTCTGCAGGGCTCCCCGAAACAAATCATCTGATGGCCACCAGGTTCAGGGGCCTGGCAGAGAAGGTGCCAGGGCAAGAATGCTCCTGGGGTCTTTTTGCCAAGCCCTGCCTTTTGGCCTGGGTTCCTGCTTTCCACGTAAAGAGCAGAGTGGCCCAGAGTTCCTGGATGTACCGGTTTCCTTCCCAGCCTCATGCTGTTCCTTGAAATGACAGCTCTCCCCATTTCCCACTTGAGGCTCACCCATCTCATCTGTTCTCAGATATTTTTGTTCTCAGCATCCCCACATCTCAGGTTCCCCCAAAACCCTCTCTGGAGTTCTCAAAGGGAGTGGTGCTGCTTTCCACAAATGACCTGCATGAGTCCATCTCCATTTGCAACCACGCGGATTCCTGCCAGACCCCAGGGCACAGATCTATTTCACTTGGGCAAGTCAGGGACCTGTGCCAGCTGTGCCCAACCTCCTCTCACCTCCGGGGCCCACGTGGTGATACTGCACAGGGAGGGAGGCAGGCGCTGTCACAGGAGCTCCTCAGAGAACCTGGAAATGAGATATTGAGGACTCTCGGTTCGCTCCTACTCCAAGTGTGCTGGATGCAGCATTGGTAAAGAAGCACGGAAAAGCCAGGCACAGCGGCTCACACCTGGAATCCCAGCACTCTGGGAGGCCGAGGCAGGCGAATCCCTTGAGCTCAGGAGTCTTGCCCAGCCTGGGGAACATGGCGAAACCCCGTCTCTACCAAAATTTAAAAAATTAGCTGGCTATGGTGGTGCACGCCTGTGGTCTCAGTCAGGTGGCTGAGGTGGGAGGATCACTTGAGCCTGGGAGGCAGAGGTTGTAGTAAGCCAAGATTGCGCCACTGCACTCTAGCCTGGGTGACAGAGCGAGACCGTGTCTCAAAAAAAATTTTAAAGAAGTGGGGAAAGTGGGTACTTGGAACCAGGACACCATCTTTCCGGGAGACCCTAGAGCTGAAGCCGTGGCTATTAAGACAGCCATGCCAAGGAGCAGTGCACAAAGTCCTCGTGGGAACGTATGTGGGAAACTGCCTCTGCCTTGGAAATCTCTTCAATGACCAGATTTTGTAACGTGGCCAGGCCAGGGCTGTCCAAACAGGTTTTTCAACCTGCAGGAAAACAGCCATGGGCAGGAACTTGCTGATGTCAGCTTGTAACTGCCCCAGCCCACGTAAGTGTCCATTTCTTCCAAGTAAAAACGTGAGCTGTGTGCCCTATTTAGTGCTGTTTTTGCGCTCTGCTCCCCCTCCCCCACCATTGAGCGATGAACGTGGCAACTCTCTCAGATGGTTCTTTCCCCACAGAGCATGCTGGGGTGTTGGGCAGGCTCACTTTCTGCCTCTCTTCTCCCCATTCCTGAAGGCACACCCCTCTCTTCATGAAAAAAGCATTTATGTAGATATTCAGTCATTTAATAGGCCCAAATTCTTTCCCTTTTGAACAAATATTGACAACTTGGTAGCAGCATAAGCAGGAGACTGTCCTGAAGTCTGAGGAGTGCTGAGAACTCGCCAGCTGTTGCGCTGTTACCTCTCTCGGTAGAACTAGGAGAATTAGATATGCCTGAAACATTGTTCAGGTGAGAAAGCTGATCTATTGAATATGGAAATTGAGCTCTAAGAGATTTATACTCTGCAAGTAAAGTCTCTATTAAAACACCTGTTTTAGTATTAAATAGGGTCTGGCTGGGAAATCTGTCTCTTGGGGTTCCCTTTTCATTGTACACATAAGCATTAAGTGGGAGCATGTAGGACTATTTGTCATCTTTCTTTAAACCCTTAGCTTGGAATAGGTGGGAGTATAAAGAGGGCAAAAACAGGTAAGCGCCCTCCTGACAGGCATTGTAAGCTTGTGAACAGAGGAAGTTCAGTTTAGCTGGGTTACAATTTGAAACCTGACACTCGGACCAAAAACAAAAACTAACAAAAACTAGAGGAACCTGATCTTTAGTCCTGTAAAAGCACTTTTTCTCCCTTAGCTTCATCCCTCTTTGGGCAGATTTCATCATAGAAGTCCTTCTGTAGGTAGGAGTTTCTGGAAATGCACTAGGTCCAGGGCTTCCACCTTAAAGGGAAAGGGTGCACGGGGAGCTTGGGGACTGAAACAGGAGCCACAGAACATGTCTCTTCTTTAAATTCCTTGCGGATAGGTACTCAGGGCTTCGCTTGCTTTCTCACGTCTCTTTCCGTATGCACTCCACTGTCACCCTCTGGCCCTCTAACACATTTCCAAGAAAACTGCAGGCATCCATATCCTTCCTCAAAATGAAAGTGCATATGATATACTAGAGGTTGGTTATGTTTTGTTCTTTTGATGTAAAATTTAAATACAATGAAATGTAATCTTAAGTGTTCATTTGTTGAGTTCTGACAAATATGCCTGAAAAATGCAAAATCTTAAGACATGTAGAACATTATCACACTCAGCTACATATTTTGGATTTACATTTTTTAATCATTCTTGGTTTTTTTTTTTTTTTTGATATGGAATCTCACTGTGTCACCCAGGGTGGAGTGCAATGGCACATTCTCAGCTCACTGTAACCTCTGCCTCCTGGGTTCAAGCGGTTCTCCTGCCTCAGCCTCCCGAGTAGCCAGGATTACAGGCACATGCCACCACTCCTGGCTAATTTTTGTATTTTTAGTAGAGATGGGGTTTCACTGTGTTGGCCAGGCTGGTCTCAAACTCCTGACCTCAAATGATCTGCCCACCTTGGCTTCCCAAAGTGCTGGGATACAGGTGTAAGCCACCATGCCTGGCCCATTCTTGCATTTTAAAGTCATTTCAGGCTGGGCATGGTGGCTCATACCTGTAATCCCAGCACTTTGGGAGGCTAAAACAGGTAGATCCCTTGAGCTCAGGAGTTCAAGACCAGCCTGGGCTGGTCTTTGCCAACATGGCAAAACCCCGTCTCCACCAAAAGTACAAAAAATTAGCTGGGCGTGGTGGTGCATGCCTGTGGTCCTAGCTACTTGGGAGGCTGAGGTGGGAGGATCACTTGAGCCCGGGAGGCGGAGGCTGCAGTGAGCCAAGATTGTGCCACTGCACTCTAGCCTGGGTGACAGAGTAAGACCCCATCTCAATTTAAAATATATATATTATTTCAAACTTTAAAAAGATTCTAAAAATAGTACAAATAATTCCCATATACCCTTCACTTAGCTTCCTCAAACATTAACACCTTATGTAACCGTAGTCCAAATACCAAGATAAGAAAATTAACATTAGCAGTCTCTAGACCTCATTCCCATTTTAATCAGTTGTCTCACTGATGTCCTATTTCTGCCCCGGGACCCTCTCTGGAGCCACACAGTTAGTTGTCAGACCTCCCTGTCTCCTTCGATGTGGGATAGTTCCAGTCTTTTTTTGTCATGACCTTGGTATTTTTGAAGAGTACTGGCCATTGACTTTGGAAAGCCCTTCAGCTTGGATTGTCTGGTGTTTTCTCATTATTTGGAGTTTTACATTTTTGGTAAGAATAAAGTGCTGTTTTGCCCTTCCAGGACCTCTTTCAAGGTGGCACATGTGGTCGGTATATCTTATCTTAGGTGGTGCTAATTTTGATTATTAGTTAAGGTGGTGTCTGCCACGTTTCTCCACTGTAAAATCACTATCCTTCCCTTTACAATTGGTCAGTATATTTGGGGGAGATAATTTTAAACTATGTAGATGTCCTAGTTCTAGCTACCATTGATGAGATTACTGTGGTATTTGAGAAATTGTGATTTTTAAAAACTTTTTACGTGTATTAATTGGAATTCTATAAGGAGCCAATTTCTGTTCTCCATTTATTCAGTTATATTAATATGGACTCATGGATATGTGTTTCGGTCTTTGGGTTATGATCTATGAGTATGTATCTTCTTGCTCAGGTTGTTTGAGATTTGGCCTTTAGGAGCACCTTGAAGTGTGAGCCCTGCATTCTTTGCAGGCTTCCTTGCTGCCTGGCTCCTCGAGATGCACCAGGTTCATCCTTTGTGTTCCCTGTTCTAGTCCTGGAATCAGCCATTTCTCCAAAGGCCTCTGTCTGGTCCCTGTTATTGGAGAATCACGCTTTTTTAATGTGTGGCCTAAGCAAGGACACTTATAAACCCTGTGGCCACCTTCTCTGTAGACCCTGTTCATGTCCTATATGTGATCTCTTAGGAAAAAGGAAATCCTTGGGCTTTAATTTTCCAACTTTGGTCAAGAATTAAAAGTTCTTTAACTCAAAAGTGAGTCATAATTTTCATGTTTAACCTTTTTGTTTTGATACTGCAGTTATGCTTATGAGTGGCTATGAATTGTTATATGAGGTTTCAAAGTCCTAAGAGGAAAAACTTTCTAGGCACACCAGAGAGCCGGAGGCCTAAATTTTCTAAGGTCAGAACCTGTTTTGAGAGTCCTGTGTAGAGACAGGAGCCGGAGAGGGGATCCCAGCCCCTTGAAGTTTCAGGATGCGGCACGCTGGCTCACAGTGCTATGTGCTGTGGGCGGAGCCTCCGGAGCTTGGATCCTAGCTTCTCTGTTGGTGCCAGCAGGCTGCTCTTGTGTTTTGGGAGAAAGTGCTCCAGAAGCAACACATGCCTACCTGGTGCCACTTTCACAGCCTTTCAATGTAAGGAGGACATAGGCTGAAGTCAGTAGCAGGGCAAGGTGGTATCTGGAGTTCCCCTTTAATGCTCTGAAACCTGTAAAGAAAATTACATCTCGAAGATAAAAGAACAAACTCATTGCATGTCTGTTTGAATGCCAGGTGTGTTTTTTTTTAATGGGGATTGGTGATTCTAGAGCATAGCACTGTAAAAGAAAGGATGTATACAAAAGCTTTGACATTTAGAACCATGGTCTGGCCAGTGTCCTGCCATCATTCCTGCAGGCACACCATGACTGACTGCGCTAATTCCCCAGAAGGGCCATGTCAGGCTTACATGTTTGCCCTCAGCCTACAGAGTCCACCCCACTGCCTTGATCTAGTTGATGTGATCATAACGAAACCTGTATTGCTCATCAGTATTGAAGCTGTTGGTAGGCCATAGATTGCTTGACCTTCCTGCTACTTCTAAAATGAAGGTTTTTGTGGGATGTTGGAAAGGACTGCTTTGGAGGGCAGCATTGTTGGATGGTGGTTTTGAGGATTTGTCGTTATTTCCAGAATGGCATTATCCCTGGTAAAATGTGTTGGAAGAATAGGGTGGGAAGTGTCAGGTGAGCAGAGCAATGTGGTCTTGAAGTCACATGATGAACTTGGGAATGCTAATAAAAGCCAGAGTCTGGCCAGTCATGGCATTGCATTGGTTAAGTAGGATTAGCCCTGTGGGGCCTTCATTAGGGCGGTTAGTTTGAAGGCTGTCCTGGAAGTTGGAGAGTGACATGGGAAGATGTCTGTCCAGCCAGGAGAACACACACTGGAATGAGAACCAGAGGAGCAGAATGCATAGCAAGGCCTCTGTCCGTTTCTCTTGGCAAGCTCTGTTGAGTATGGCACGTCTAGGAACGTGATGGGATCTTGGCCCTCCCTGTTGGTTTCATAGAACTAAATGATCAGTAACTTAAATAACATTCAACAGTCTGTAGCAGAAGAGCCTGTATGTTAAGAGAGGCCTCAAGGGAAAGGGAGGCAGCCCTGGGGAACTGTGTGTTGAAAGGTGGGTCTGAACCGTGGAGTTTGGGGCTGGATTTGACAGCTCTTGGATGCTGAGTTAAGGACTGTGTTGACATGGGAGGAGAGGAAATTAATCAGATCAGCAGACTGAAAGTAGGGCTGCTCCAGCACACAGCTTGAGAGTGGGCTCTGGCAGGATGAGAGGTAGGTGAGTGTGGTGATGTGATGTGGGAATGAACAGCAGAAGATACCTGAGGGGGAGGGTCAAGGTACCTGGGTAGGAATTTCAGTTGACCTCGAGATCACCAGCCTGGGTAATCATAGGTGCCCTAGACTGAGGAAAAACCAAAGGAAATGGGAACAGATTAAGGTTGCAGATGCCTTGCAGCCAACCACTTGGCTTAACCTAGGACAGGTGGGAACTATTTGATAATAGCATATAACACATTGTGCCTCTTGGGTTAGCTTCATATTATTTTAATTGAACTAATAAGAATTGATTTGCGAATCTCTCTTAGCCAATCCAAGAACATATGTATACATCTAACCATCCACTTCTTCTTTTTAACCTCAGGTTAACCCCAAAGATTGGCTTTCCTTGGAGTGAAATCAGGAACATCTCTTTCAATGACAAAAAGTTTGTCATTAAACCCATCGACAAGAAGGCACCTGTAAGTTCCAAAGGATTCTATTCAGGGGCTACTGTTTTTCATTCTTATACTTGTCAGGGTAACGGACAAGTTATACTGTGACGAGTAGCCAGTGATAGTCCAAACTCCTCATGAGGTTACATTGAGGGCCAGAGATCCTGTGGGCCAGGCAATTGCTGCAGGGGAGACCACTTAACTTTTCAAATGATTCTCATTCCTTATGAAGAAAAGGGCAGTTCTGAGCCATTGGCCAAATGATAAGCATTTCCCAAAATGCTGTGTTTTTGGTGTGGAGAGCCAGCCTGTCCCCTTGACCACCTGGGTGCAGGGACTCTCCCCGGCACCTGACGGACAGTGGGACCTGCGAGTCTCAAGGGCCAGATTTGCCTTTCAGAGCTGTCCTGGAACTTACCCAAGATAGGGACAGTCAGACTTGCACCCAAGCATTGCTGGTGCCCAAGGTTTCATCGGGGCTTCACCCACTTCTGTTGTCAGAGGTGTGCATCCTCACACAGGTGACACTGGCAGGCAGTCATTTTGGGAGGACATGGTAAGAAGGCGACACTTTATGTCCTGAAATCTGATAGTATTGATTGTAATAGCTGCAAAGACCAGTGCATTATGTAAATTTGGTTTTATTTATTCTGCTGACATTTAAACTTTTGTTAACTCAGAATATTTGAGACATACGCACATAACTGTAGCATTGTAGAATGGGTAAGGATTTTGTTATCTAATCAGAAATCTAGTTCTCTAAAAAATTGCCACCTGAAGAAATTCTGTTACCACCTTAGAGCCTGTTCTGAATTTTACGAAAATTATAGATTGGAAAGGACTTTGTGTTCTCATGTAATTTTGGTTCCTTAGTTACAGTGTTAAGCTTGGAGAGGCAAACATGGGCTGTGGTCCATACCTTGGTTGTCTTGTTAACCCTTTTGGGACTGGGTACTGCTTAGCAATGGTAAATCCACTTAGAACAGTATGTGGTGTTATTGTCCTGTTACTTCTCCCCACATACAGGTTTGTCTAGCATAATTTAAAATCAGCAGGTCTTGACAATTTTGTGAAAGTATTTTCTTCTTTGTTAAAAACGTCTTGGCCAGGCTCAGTGGCTCACGCCTGTAATCCCAGGACCTTGGGAGGCTGAGATGGCCGAATCACGAGGTCAGGAGTTCGAGACCAGCCTGGCCAACACAGTGAAAACCCCATCTCTACTAAAAATACAAAAATTATCTGGGCGTGGTGGTGGGCGCCTGTAATCTCAGCTGCTCGGGAGGCTGAGGCAGGAGAATCGCTTGAACCCAGGAAGCAGAGGTTGCAGTGAGCTGAGATCGCCACTGCACTCAAGCCTGGGTGACAGAGCTAGACTCCGTCTCAAAAAAAAAAAAAAAAAAGGGCTCCTGCTGTTTGCAAACTCTTGGCTGCTACTCTGTGGGTAGTTGCACGGTTATTTAAAATTAAACGCGTATTGAATGCAGACTCTAAGGCTCCATGGCAGCAGTTCATATTATGCAACAGCATGAATGGAGGGTCATAGCGTCTTCATGTCACTTGGGTAGTAAGATTGGCACAGTTTAGAAGAGCAAGAAAATGCTGAAATCTCTTCATCAGTAGGCTACTACGTACTCTGTGACGCTACTGCCTTTTCAGAACACTTATTAAAAATTTGACTAGAGCAGCAGCTCTGGACTAGACTGTTTCAGAATGTTTGTGCGTGTGTGTGTGTGTGTGTGTGTGTGTGTGTGTGTGTGTGTGTTTGATGATAAGTCCATCTCTTGAAAAGCTGAAGAATATTTTCATAATAAGCCCCAAGCAGAAGCCATTGTAACGCATCTCGTGCATGTGCCTTTATTATAGAGTAGCCTCATGTGAAGCCATCTCGTAAGCAAAAGAAACATTCGCTGGTGGCACGCTGTCCCAGGCACTCTTCCAGGGCTGTGTGCACCATCAACAAGGCAAAGCTCCTACCCTGGTGAGCCTACATTTACGTGAAGGAAAGGGTTAAAAAGGCAACTGAGATGCTTCCTGGTAGTAAATTTAACAGTACAGCTGTGATTAAAAACTAAGCCGGATCAGAAGATGGGGGTGAGATTCCTTTAGGCAGGTTGGGCAGGAGCCACACTGAGGAGGCAGCATTTGCCTTGAGTGGGCACTGCTGGTTTGAGGAGGTGGAGTTCTGTCACCCCCACAGCACCCCAGGGCTGCTCGAGGCACTGCCCCACCTCAGTCTGTAAACTTTGGGCAGAAGAAGTTCAAGTTTTCGACATCGAACTTTCTTGTAAAAAAGAAGAGGCCCAAAGTTTGAGGCGGTGGGATTCCTTATCTTGTGTTG
This sequence comes from Homo sapiens, assembly GCF_000001405.40. Taxonomy (NCBI): domain Eukaryota; kingdom Metazoa; phylum Chordata; class Mammalia; order Primates; family Hominidae; genus Homo; species Homo sapiens. The sequence goes on along the minus strand of NC_000006.12, from coordinate 158,774,096 downwards.
ACTTTCACGGGTCATCTTCACCCCAGGCGGTTTCTGCTGTGAACTCACAAATGAGTCTTTGTCCAGTTCTCACCCAACAACTGGCGTCTCCTTTTTAAAAGCCAGCTTCTCTTCCCTGCCAAGGTGCATACAGCAGTTTGGGGCCACACTTTGGCTCTTTAGATGGGACCTTGTATACAGCTGACACGGCCTGCCCAGGTGACACTATGAGGGGCTGAGGCGGCTGCCTTTTCCCTTTCAAAAGGGCGTTTTGTTCCTGTGGCCTTGTGGAAAAGGCAGAAGGCTCTGAGGCATCTGAAATTTGGAGAAAGTAAGCAGCGTTTCCGCTCTGACTCCTCGGACGCTTCCCCCACGTGACCTTCCCAGGAGCCCCGCTGCCTTTTTGCCTCCCGCGGCTGCCTCCTGCCATCTCTGCGGCCAGATGAGCCTTGGGATTGGCCTCTTGTGGGAGAGTTTCCTGGCATCCTGGGGACTTGAAAAGGGGCTCTTTTACCTTCTCTCCTTCTGTATTTGTAGGGTCTTGGGTTTATTTTTCTTGAACTTTCCTTGTGCCTGGTTTGCATTTTTACCTTGCTGGTCCTCGGCCAGTTTAAAAACCCTGCTCCAGGTCTTGTCGTGTTGTGGTTCTGCATCAGGAAGCTGCATCCTGCATCAGGTTAGGGACTTGGATTTAGAAACATTTCAGTATGAGTCTTTGTTTTAACTTGAAGTGAGAAACCGGCTTCCTTCAAAGGCACTGGGAGAGATTTCCTGCCAGGCACCATCCTCCCTCACCCACTGGCAGTGGACTCCCCAAATTCTGGTTCCCGTTGCTGGCAGGACCTGTCTTCTGCAGGGAAAGGGAGAGAGGGAGACATTGTTATGTTAACCATTGAGGTTTTTCATTGATCCCCCCACCCATGCACCCCCACAACCCCATAAAGGGGAGTTGGTGCTAATCAGCGTTTTCTGAGTCAGGGCCTATTTGGTAGAGTCCTCCAAAGCTGTAATGCAGGATTGTTTCCTCTTGTGTAATAAGGGATAGGTGGGTCATAAAAATGCCGATTGCTCCCAGCTCCACAGACTCCTCCCTGGGAAACCCAATGACTTAACAGCAAGGGTGTGAAACCCCAAAGACAGCCCCACCCAGGAAGTTCATGGGCTCTCAGGGCTTGGCATCACCTCTCACCCTAGGATTTCTGGAACAGATGAAAAGACTGAAGCTAAATAGATTCTTCTCGGATGTGTTGATGAGCCCGCTCAGCCGGTTCCTCGTTAGGTCTCAGAAGTTGCTGTGGGATATATCGCACTGTTTTTTTGTTTTAGCCACCCTGTCCCTCTGTTCCAAATGGTCAGAAGCTGGATGCTGGGGGCCCTGAGGTTAAGAGGAAGCCAACAGAGTCACTGAAAAATAACTTTTCATGGGAGTTTCTAAACCATATTCTTCTGTCTTGTAAGCTAATCACAGCAGTAGCAAGGAGTTGGGACCAAGATTGTCAGCTGTGTCCCAAATGTTTCCAGTCATGGTCACGAGTTTCCCGAAGGCTGTGATTCTGCCTTGTTTTCCAGGAGGCTCCTCTGGTTGTGGTCTTGCAAGGCACTAGCAATTGGAGTGACCGCTGTGTGTGTCAGCCAGCTCTTCCTGCGCCGAGCACCTCCTGAACGTCACCGATAAGGCGGGGACGCCAGCATCTAATGGGACTGCTGGGAGGATTGAGTCCCATATCTGAAGTCCCTTGAGATACCGGCATCCCTGCCTTATGGTTGAAGGCACTGAGCCTGGTGAAGGGATGTGCTCAAGGCTGTGGAGCTCGCACGTGGCTGTCTGTGCTGCACGAGCTGGCAGTGCCTGGCAGGTACTGCACACCTCAAATACCCTGGGAAGATAAGAGATGAGTGAATGTGTGGCCCCTGCCCTTGGGAGCTGATGGCCTCATAGGAGTGAGATGCTGAAAGGAGTCACTGGAGTGAAGTGACAGTGCCACTGCGGCGAGTACCTGTAGCTGGTGTGGCAGGAGCAGGGCTGGATAGCTTTGAGGAGAGAGAACCGAGTGCACAGCGGAGGCTGGGCCCAGAGCTGGAAGGTCTCTGTGTGGGTTGGGCCCAGGCCCTGGAGCTCATCCTGGAGCTCCCAGGCTGGCAGTGATGGGTCGGGGTGGTGACCCAGTCAGTGTAGCAATAACAGTGTGGGAGGGGAGGCTGTGGCAGAGGAGACAGGAAGCCCAAATAGCAGCAGAGGCAGTCCAGGCAAGCATCGGGGATGGGGAGCAGCAGTGAGGCTGGAGAGGACATCATGAAAGGTGGCTACCTGGAAGAGCAGGCAGCTCTGAGACTTGAAAGGTTTCCCAAGGCTGAGAGTTCTCACCTTGGAAAAGCTTTGCAGTTAACGTGCAGTGGCATTTCAGTGTGCATGCAGGATGTCCCTACCCACACACAACTGCACACACACGCGGCACCTGCCCTTCCTCCACCCGTCCCAGAGAATGCACTTTCCCAGTGCTACATACCCACACATAACCGCACACACACGCGGCACGTGCCCTTCCTCCATCTGTCCTGGAGAATGCACATTCCTAGTGCCGAGATGCTGCCATCCCTGTTCTGCTACATTTGTTCTTTTAGAAAAGTTCTGGACCTTTGTGAAGGATGGTTTGGAGAAGAAAACCAAACGAAGGAGCTTGAGTCCAGGTGGCCCTGTTCTGTTTTGTAGGACTTTGTGTTTTATGCCCCACGTCTGAGAATCAACAAGCGGATCCTGCAGCTCTGCATGGGCAACCATGAGTTGTATATGCGCCGCAGGAAGCCTGACACCATCGAGGTGCAGCAGATGAAGGCCCAGGCCCGGGAGGAGAAGCATCAGAAGCAGCTGGAGCGGTGAGCGCGTGAGGCCAGAGTGGGGGGGGCCTGTGTTCTCCCAACTCAGCCACTGGCAGCCAGTGCCTGTCAGGTGACTGTGGAGCTGATGGGGAGAGTGTGGTGGAATGGAACCCAGTCACCACGCTGGGATCTTCGAGGCCTTTGTCTCTGGGCGGTTGCTGTGGTGCTGAGCCTGTTGTCAGCCCTGGAGCGGCTGCTCCGTCAGGCAGCTCAGGCTGGCAGCAGGCTAGGGTGGCCCTCAGGATACCAAGTCCATCCTGGAGCTTCAAGTACCCGTGAAGTGTGTTGACCCCTCACTTTCCTGCCAGAGTCTAAATCTCCCTGTGCCTCTTTTTCCCTGCACCAGGCAACAGCTGGAAACAGAGAAGAAAAGGAGAGAAACCGTGGAGAGAGAGAAAGAGCAGATGATGCGCGAGAAGGAGGAGTTGATGCTGCGGCTGCAGGACTATGAGGAGAAGACAAAGAAGGCAGAGAGAGGTCAGGCGCCCTGGGGCTGGCACTCTACACTGGGTCATGCATTTCCACAGAGTAGCAGGGGCCACACCCACCCACCCACTCACCAGGAAGGAAACCAAGAACGTGTCCCACAGCGCAGACTCACAGCCGAAATGATAAAATGGTTATTTGGTTTGGAAAACAGTTCTGTACTTATTTAACTTTGATGCTAGTTGTTCTAAGACTTTGTATTTTAAAATTTCCCTAGTCTTTTGCGGTAAGTGCTCAATCACCCAGTTTCCCCGATGAGGACAGTAAGGTTTGGTGCGGTACAGTGATTTGCCCACAGTCCCCCAGCCCATGACTGACAGGGCCATGCTGCACTGCCCTCGACCTCTAGACTAAAACCCAAAGGCGTGTTCAGAGCCAGACTTCCCAGCACAGCTCCAGTCAACAACCCCAGCAGCTGGGCCGATTACACAAGGCGCCACAGATGCTGTATTCACTGGCAGCCCTTACAGCACACATGGGAAGGGTGTTCTGTGTTCTGAGTGGAGTGTGGACCACCAGCACAGCGGGCGGCTGACCTGGGGAGAGTAGCGCCAAGAGGGTTGAGTCAGGCATGCCAGAGAGAGGGCGCCTGGCTGGCGTTGGACGGGTTTCTAGCCATCTTGAGGAAGTTGTCATGGATACAGCAGCAATGAGCTCTGTGAAGTGCTTTCCTCCAGGGTCACTGGAAGACATCCCCTCAACCTGTGACTTGGTCTAGGGCTCTGTGGCTTTGGGGGTGGGAATGGAAAGCGAGGGCTCCTAGGTCCCTGGGCTGAGGGTTTGAATGGCTCTGGCTTTGTGTCTTTGCAGAGCTCTCGGAGCAGATTCAGAGGGCCCTGCAGCTGGAGGAGGAGAGGAAGCGGGCACAGGAGGAGGCCGAGCGCCTAGAGGCTGACCGTATGGCTGCACTGCGGGCTAAGGAGGAGCTGGAGAGACAGGCGGTGGATCAGATAAAGAGCCAGGAGCAGCTGGTAGGAATGGCCTGAGTTTCAAGATGCTGAATTATAGAGAGGCTGCTTCTGAGGATGGAAAATGTGACACCTGCCTTGTAATAATTGTCATGACTGGAAGCTGTAAACTGATCTGCTGGGGGGCTGAAGGCAGCTGGTGGGGAAGGGGCTGGGCTGTTGCCAGGGTCACCCATTGAAGGTGGGTGTGGGCATCCAGGAAGAGATGCCGGGGGTGCACAATGGACCCTGCTGGCCATGGAGTGGGGGTGGCGGGGACTCAGGTGTCACGTTGGAGACTGCTTGCCAACACACATGAACACTCATTCACAACTGGACTCCGTTGAAAGGATATCAGAACTGACGTGAGCTTGGCATTCCCTTCCCAGGCTGCGGAGCTTGCAGAATACACTGCCAAGATTGCCCTCCTGGAAGAGGCGCGGAGGCGCAAGGAGGATGAAGTTGAAGAGTGGCAGCACAGGGTGAGTCTGCACGGGGGACACCTCCGCACGGCCACAGCACCTGTTGCCCAATTGCCTGCGGTGGGGCCCTTCTGCAGGTGGGTGGGTTGGGGGAGAGGTCTGGCTCAAGCTGCCACATCCCACTGGAAGCTTCTGGGATGTCTCATGATCCTCTGCCAATACCAGCTGTACTACTGAAGTAGACATCCCCAAAGAGATGGGTTTGACTTTGTACACGAGTCAGTGCAGCTGCTGGATTCATAGAGGGAGGACCTCTGATTGACTTTCACCCACTTTGCTCCCTCCACCCCGAACTGTTCAGTGCTGATCTGACAGCCCCCGGTCAGGAACTGGTTTTAAATCTAATTATATATGTGCCCCTTGCAATGGGGTCGCAGTGCCTGAAACACGACCTCCTGCAGCTAGTATATACAGCGGGCACCATGGAAAGATCCAGCTCCTTGGACGTCTCCAGGCTGGAGTGAGAGCTGGGCTCTGCTGCTCATCAGCTATTTGGGGGCTAGTAGCATCACTTCTTCAAGCCTCATTTTCCTCATTGTAGAATGGGGGCAATACCCAACTCATAAGGTTGCTCTGCAGATGCGAGGTCCCATGCCCAGGACCTAGCACAGAGGTTTAGTCAGCTGTAGCTCTCATTGTGGGACGCACACAGAGCTTGTCGCTCCGTCTGGGATCCCCTGTGCCCTCCAGGAAGGCACAGCCCCTGAGAAGCTCTGGGGATGGTTCCCACTGGAGACTGCACACCAGGCTTTAAGCAGCTCCTCTCCTTCACAGACCCGCTGGCCCGTCCTTCCCCCACTGTGGCTTCTCCATCTGTGGAGGTGCCTTCTGGGGACGTGTCTCCCGGCTCTCCAGGGCTGCTGCTGCCTAGTACCTCCTTGCCTCTGTTCCAGCCCCCATTCCCGCTGCCGATCTGTATTAGGCTGTTCTCACAACGGCTATAAAGAACAAGCTGAGACTGGGTAGTTAAAGAAAAGAGGTTTAATTGACTCACAGTCCCACATGGCTGGGGGAGGCCTCAGGAAATTTACAATCGTGGCAGAAGGCGAAGGGGAAGCAGGCACCTCTTACATGAGGGCAGAAGAGAGAAAAGCAAAGGGGGGTAATGCCAAACACTGAAACCATCAGCTCTTGCTCAGAACCCACCCACTAGCACGAGAACAGCATAGGGGAAACCACCCCGTAATCCAGTCACCTCCCACCAGGTAATGCCCCCCACCCCCAGCATGGGGGGATTACAGGTGGAGATGAGATTTGGGTGGGGACACAGCCATATCACCATCCCAAGTTGCAAGCGGAAGACTTTGGTTCTTAGGTTTTTGGAGAAAGTACCTGTTAAGTGAGGAGAGCTGGCTACAAAGCAGATCCACACTAAGCTCAACTCTAGGGCTGGCTGGGATGGAGGCGGGCGGGACTGGGTGTGTGTGAAGCTGTTGGAAGGACTGCAAGTGGCGAGCAGGAGAGCACTTGATAATGACTGTGGCATGAAGGGAGGCTAGGAACAGAGCCCGTTACTCATGCTAACAGGATTTTTTTTCTAAAAATTATATAATGTCTAGAGTTACAGGTAAAAAAAGAAATGGTAGTTTTAAAACTGCCCAGGTTCCGGCATCACAGTTCCTCTTCCTGTCTTGGACGCAGAGGGTTGTAAACCCCCCATGCACCCTGAGGGTGCTCCTCTTCGAAGCCACAGCCCAGCACAGTTCAGTGCTGCCTTAGCCTGCCAGGACAGAGGGAGGTGACAGTCTGTTCTCATAGCCAGGAGGATAGGACTTCTGGGTGAGAAGTCCTCTTATTAATTTGCTTTCCAAAGGCCAAAGAAGCCCAGGATGACCTGGTGAAGACCAAGGAGGAGCTGCACCTGGTGATGACAGCACCCCCGCCCCCACCACCCCCCGTGTACGAGCCGGTGAGCTACCATGTCCAGGAGAGCTTGCAGGATGAGGGCGCAGAGCCCACGGGCTACAGCGCGGAGCTGTCTAGTGAGGGCATCCGGGATGACCGCAATGAGGAGAAGCGCATCACTGAGGCAGAGAAGAACGAGCGTGTGCAGCGGCAGCTGCTGGTGAGGCCCAAGGGGCTCTGTCTCCAGGGAGCCTGCCTCGCTTTTGGAGCAGACAGGCTTGGGGAGGGCAGTGATGTGAGCCAGCCCCACCCAGCACCCCTCTTGCCCTTCCTGTTTTCCTAGGGGACGGGCCGGGCCATATGGGGAGGAAGGGACTAGACCAATGCTGCTTAATGTTACAGACGCTGAGCAGCGAGCTGTCCCAGGCCCGAGATGAGAATAAGAGGACCCACAATGACATCATCCACAACGAGAACATGAGGCAAGGCCGGGACAAGTACAAGACGCTGCGGCAGATCCGGCAGGGCAACACCAAGCAGCGCATCGACGAGTTCGAGGCCCTGTAACAGCCAGGCCAGGACCAAGGGCAGAGGGGTGCTCATAGCGGGCGCTGCCAGCCCCGCCACGCTTGTGTCTTTAGTGCTCCAAGTCTAGGAACTCCCTCAGATCCCAGTTCCTTTAGAAAGCAGTTACCCAACAGAAACATTCTGGGCTGGGAACCAGGGAGGCGCCCTGGTTTGTTTTCCCCAGTTGTAATAGTGCCAAGCAGGCCTGATTCTCGCGATTATTCTCGAATCACCTCCTGTGTTGTGCTGGGAGCAGGACTGATTGAATTACGGAAAATGCCTGTAAAGTCTGAGTAAGAAACTTCATGCTGGCCTGTGTGATACAAGAGTCAGCATCATTAAAGGAAACGTGGCAGGACTTCCATCTGTGCCATACTTGTTCTGTATTCGAAATGAGCTCAAATTGATTTTTTAATTTCTATGAAGGATCCATCTTTGTATATTTACATGCTTAGAGGGGTGAAAATTATTTTGGAAATTGAGTCTGAAGCACTCTCGCACACACAGTGATTCCCTCCTCCCGTCACTCCACGCAGCTGGCAGAGAGCACAGTGATCACCAGCGTGAGTGGTGGAGGAGGACACTTGGATTTTTTTTTTTGTTTTTTTTTTTTTTGCTTAACAGTTTTAGAATACATTGTACTTATACACCTTATTAATGATCAGCTATATACTATTTATATACAAGTGATAATACAGATTTGTAACATTAGTTTTAAAAAGGGAAAGTTTTGTTCTGTATATTTTGTTACCTTTTACAGAATAAAAGAATTACATATGAAAAACCCTCTAAACCATGGCACTTGATGTGATGTGGCAGGAGGGCAGTGGTGGAGCTGGACCTGCCTGCTGCAGTCACGTGTAAACAGGATTATTATTAGTGTTTTATGCATGTAATGGACTATGCACACTTTTAATTTTGTCAGATTCACACATGCCACTATGAGCTTTCAGACTCCAGCTGTGAAGAGACTCTGTTTGCTTGTGTTTGTTTGTTTGCAGTCTCTCTCTGCCATGGCCTTGGCAGGCTGCTGGAAGGCAGCTTGTGGAGGCCGTTGGTTCCGCCCACTCATTCCTTCTCGTGCACTGCTTTCTCCTTCACAGCTAAGATGCCATGTGCAGGTGGATTCCATGCCGCAGACATGAAATAAAAGCTTTGCAAAGGCACGAAGCAGCACGGGTGTGTGCTTGTGTGTGGGGTGGGAGGGCTACCGCCGACTCGTCTGGGCTCTATGCTGTCCTCTGGCCAGGTTTCGTGAGGGGCCGTGGTGTCCCTGGGGGTACACTGGTAAGTTGGAGCTGACCAACCCAAGACATGGTGCTCCATGGGTCACCTAACCTCCTCGAGATGGTTTCCACAGGAGAGAAAGACTGCTCCAACACTCATCAGGCTCCTCTAAAATGCTCCTCATAGCCGGGCACAGTGGCTCACACCTGTAATCCCAGCACTTTGGGAGGCCGAGGTGGTCGGATCACGAGGTCAGGAGATCGAGACCATCCTGGCCAACATGGTGAAACCCCATCTTTACTAAAAATACGAAAATTAGCCTGGTGTGGTGGTGCATACCTATAATCCCAGCTACTTGGGAGGCTGGGGCAGGAGAATTGCTAGAACCCGGGAGGCGGAGCTTGCAGCAAGCCAAGATCGTGCCACTGCACTCCAGCCTGGTGACGGGGAGACTCCGTCTCAAAAAATAAAGTGCTTCTCACAGCGAAGCTGTGACTCCCCCCCCCGCCTTGAGACAGGGTCTTACTTTGGCCCAGGCTGGAGCACAGTTGCATGATCGGGGCTTACTGCAGCCTCAACCTCCTGGGCTCAATCCTCCCGGTTCAGCCTCCTGAGTAACTGGGACTACAGGTGTGTACCACCACACCTGGATAATTTTTTGGTTTTTTTGTAGACAGGGTATCTATGTTGCCTGGGCTGATCTCACACTTCTGAGCTCAAGCCATCCACTGCAGCCTCCCAAAGTTGCTGGGATTACAGGGGGGAGTTACCATGCCCACCAGCCGGCCTTTTACCTCATTTGATAAGCACTGGAGGACATGGGTAACAACGTTTATTAAAATCTGGCCATTTTCTACATCTCAAAGAGGAGATAACCCACCAGAGGCTTAGGTAACATAATTGTGTTTAACGTAAATATACACAGATACCAATAGGCGGTTAAGCCATGGGACAGGGCCGCAGATGGAGACTGCTCAAGGTCAAAGGGGTCTCCAGCTGGGACCCTGCACCTGGTTCGTAGCCCCTCTGCAGACGCACAGTGCCTCACGCCTGCTGCAACCTGGAACCTTGAGGCCTTCATGTCAGTGCAGGACAAGAGTCATGTCTGTCCATAGATTGGGGCTGGAAAGGACTTTCTGCCACTGGAGCTTCGATAGTGAGCATGCATCCCCGCCAACAGCTGTGTCTCCCTCTGTAAGAGAGGAAGACAATTTAGCCATGGTCGGGGAGGGCACCACTTCATCCCCTCTCATCCCTTTAAAAATGATGACCAGCCAGAAGTTTTTCACCTCAAGTCCACATTAAAAGGCCAACCACTGATGACAGACGCCGCCACCACCACTCCCACCCCAACAAAGCTGGTGTTGAGACTGGGATTCACGCAGGCATCCTCTGCTCTGCGAGGCTCTAACAGCCTGGAGTTCTGTAGTTTGAAAGTGAGGCGAGGACTCTGGTTTGGTGGGCTGGGTCTTCACCAAGGGAGTGGATAGTTGCACACCAGCATGGCTAGCTGGGTGGGGCCGTCTCAGACTGGGGGCTGGGCTTGCCCATGGGAAGGGATTCTTAGAGGAAGACAGTATGCTTTGGACAAAATATCTTTGAAAAGCAATGGAGCAGTGAAGCTTATTTCTCTTCAGTCACTGGTTCTCAGTTGGAGGTCCTTGGAGATGTGTGCAGGTGTTTTTGGTTGTCATCATGTCAGGGACACTGCTGGCAGCCAGAAGCAGTGCCAGGCACAGAACCTCACAGCAGAGGGCTGTCCACCTACCATGCCGGCGGTGCCCTGCCGAGCGGCTCTGGACAGCACTGCTGTTCTGACCACTTTTGATGAAGTACTTTCTGAATTGCCATTTGTTTAAGAAGATATTTTCATTTAAGAAAATAATCCTTTTATGATTGACGCCAGAAACAAAAGCAAATACTGTACCTAGCCCGTTTGGAGGCCTATAATTTTTGTTTCTTTAGCAGATCTAAATCTGATTTAAATTGTCAAAATACTTGGCTGTATTATGGCTCAGCTGTAGAGTAAAAACTAGACTTAGGCATTTCCAATTAAGGCAGGCTAGGCAATTTCAAAACCAGTTAAGTCACTGCCCTGGTGGAAGCATTTTCTTTGCACGGTACCCATTAGGATAATCACAAAGTATAAACGTTTGGGCTCAATGTCTCAGACTTACTTGAACCAAGTCTGGTTCCTCCAAGCAAGCGGTCGTTCATTCCAAAGAGGGCCTGATCCCAGACAGTTAACTCCAAGCTTGACTGCCTCAGCTGAGCTGGGGTTACGCCACTGAAGACAAATGAGTGTTTCCACTGGGGGCAAGCCTGCTTCCTCAGGACTGGCGACTTCAGTCTCAGTTTTTGTTGGTCTGGCAGAGTGAGACAGCTGAAGAGGGAACACAAACCCTGCAATCATTGCCATCCACACGGCCTTCTCTCCTGAGGCCTGTGCGTCAGTGCAGACGGGAAGCACTAAGAAAAGTGCCAAGTCCACAACATCCACACCCTCCCCAGTGAAGCAGGGTGGGAACCACAGGACTCGGCACATTTCCCTTAGGGCCGAATTCTGCATCAGGTATGAAGGGCGAGCTGCATGCTGAGGCCTCGTGGCCCTCATCTTAATCTTTCCTCCTTGGGGTGCCTCCCACCATGACTGCAGATACACGTTATCTCCTTTTAACCCTGTTCTCAGGAAAATCAACTCAGACAAGCTTGTCCAAGGCCATGCAGATAAGCAACAAGATTAGAACATAAGCTCAGTTCTCCTTTTTTTGAGACGGAGTTTTGTTCTGTCGCCCAGGCTGGAGTGAAGTGGCACCATCTCAGCTCACTGCAACCTCCTCCCCCCAAGTTCAAGGAAGACTCCTATCTCAGCCTCCAGAGCAGCTAGGATTATAGGTGCCCGCCACCACACCCAGCTAATTTTTGTATTTTTAGTAGAGATGGGGTTTCATCATGTTGGCCAGGCTAGTTTTGAACTCCTGACCTCAGGTGATCCACCTGCCTCAGCCTCCCAAAGTGCTGGGATTACAGGCACGAGCCACTGCGTCCAGCCTGAGTTCTATCTTGACCGTCATTTTTCCCTATGTCACTGACGGGGAGTTTGCAATTCAATGTAATAATGGTATTTGCCTTACTTTTAGAGGGGCCAATGCACCTATACTGAATGAGAATGAAATGTGGACAGTCATGCGTTTTACTGTTGGTCCAAGAGGAGATGTTAAGCTTAGGAAATATTTACTGACCACACCACATTTTCATGCTTGATTTCAAAACTGGCTTCCTGATATCACAGAACTGAGAAGATTAGGGTTTCGAGTACTCCAGCATGTACACATCCCGTGAATTTTTGGAAATCAGGGTCTTTAATATGTGTTGTTAGATTTTCATAGGAAAGCTAAAATAAGACGTTTTAAGTGGCTTACGTTTTTTAGTGTTCGCTGCAGGTTCTGGGCCATGTTGTGATGTATACTAGATCACCAATAAATATTTGATTACATCGAATACCTACCCCTTAACAAATGAGTTCAAGGTGCCATCTGGCCGCACAGGTAAATTCTTGGCTCCTAGCACTACCAAACAAAGTTGACCATGAAGTGATGGCTGATCTGTCCCTGGAAGGAAAGCCAGTATTCACTGTCAAACCATGTCTCCTGATACGTTAGTATGCAGTACCACCACCCCAAAACCGAGAGCTCAGCTAGAGAATCTGCTACAGCCCTCAGACCCCGAGAGAGCAGATGGGAGTGGTGCAGTGGGCTCTGCTGGCCCTGCCCACAGGCTGTGGCGCTGCCCACACCGTGCCGCTCTGTGGTCAGGTGGAGGACAGGATGGAGGGATTACTAAGATCCTAGAAAAGAGTAAAGAGGAACGCAAGGAGAGGGAAGATGCCGAAGTTTGAGTCTAGTTGTAGCCAGAAGTTTGGGGGAAAGTGAGAGCCCCGAGACCCTGTCTAGGAGGTTGGGATGGCCATGGGGCACTTGCTGCTGGTCTGCTGGTGACCCCGTGAACTTGGGTAGCAGAATTTCCTCTTCTAGCCAAATAGGGAGTCAGCAAAATACACAACAGAAATGTGCATTCTGGGCCGGGCGTGGTGGCTCACGCCTGTAATCCCAGCACTTTGGGAGGCCAAGGTGGGCGGATCATGAGGTCAGGAGATCGAGACCATCCTGGCTAACATGGTGAAACCCTGTCTCTACTTAAAGAAAAAAAACAAAAAATTAGCCGGGCATGGTGGCAGGTGCCTGTAGTCCCAGGTACTCGGGAGGCTGAGGCAGGAGAATGGCATGAATCAGGGAGGCGAAGCTTGCAGTGAGCCAAGATCGGGCCACTGCACTCCAGCCTGGGTGACAGAGCAAAACTCTGTCTCAAAAAAAAAAAAAAAAAAAGAAATGTGCATTCTCCCAGTCCTCCTTCCCCGCCCTCCTCCTCCTCCACCCTCCTGCTTTCCACACGCCCCACGTTATTGAAGGAGTAAAATCTCCATAGGGTCCCTGAGGACCCTCCCTCCTGACCTACTTCTTTTGCTGGGCAGCAGCTACCCACATGCCTGGGGGCGGGGATTTATCTCGTCTGAGCCCTGCAGGTACCAGTGCTCTTGGCTCCACATTGTCATGGAGCCTCTGCTCTTCAGGAGGGGCCACGGTTTCCCCAGAGACCATCCAATCTGCCCCTGGGAGGAAGGCCTAGGGCAGTGTCCTTAGAGGAGCGTAGAGAGGGCATCAGAGGCCTTGTCTGCTTCTGGTCACCCGTTTCCCCCACTACGGGCTCCAGAGAACCTCTCCCGGGCTCGCTGCATGGCTCAGAAAGAAGAGCTGCTGGAGCTGGGCACGGGGACGTAGAAAGGAAATGCTAGAAAACTTTCACCCCACCTCAGTCTGCCTGCAGCACCAGGCTCTGCAGACAATGACACAGACAATGTCCAGGGAGCTGGAGGCCACTGACCTTCTTGAGCCTCTTGGAGTTTTCTGGGCCGTGAAGGGAGAACCAGCTTAGCCCGGACTGTGAGCTCTCCATTACTCTGAGGAACGCTGTCTTCGTATTTCTCCGCCTGGGGACAAGAGGCAGAGCTTAGGGACAGGATTCCCCAAGTCCCAAGAACCTTCTGGGTTCCTCTGGTTGTCTCAGCTTCGTCCACAGATGCTTCCCCCTGGCCCCTGCAAGGCCCTGGGTGGAGCAGGTGTGTCCGTGGCAGGACTGGTCTTCCTTCCATCTATGGTTTCACTCCCACCCTCCCCAACCCCAGCATGGGGAGGAACAGCTTGGCCACCCCAGCGAACCAGAGCCAGATGAGCCTGAGGAAGTGAAGGGACTCAAGGGCACTGCACACTCCCTAAGACATTTCTACGAAAACCCAGACACAGCCTGAGTTTGAAAAACAGAAATGAACTCAAGCCTCCACCCCATCCACCCCACCCAGGTCAGTAGAGATTCACGCTGCCCTTCCATGCCAAGGACTGGCACAGACACTGGGGACAGCATGGGGTGTAGTCTCTGTCCAGAGCCACAGGGGGTGGCCCCTCAGGGTGTGGTGAGTCTGAGGACACCTCCCTGCCCACCGAGGCACTTCTGTCATGAGTGGTTTTACCAGAAAGTGAGTGAAGAGAGGGCCGGGAAAGAGATGAGCCTGAAATCCACACCATCCTTCTCCCAGTGGGGTGGGAGGAGAGTATTGGGAAGAGTCTAGAGCAGGGTGTGTCCAGTCTTTTGGCTTCCCTGGGCCACACTGGAAGAATTGTCTTGGGCCACACATAAAATACACTAACAACAGCTGATGAGCTTAAAAAAAAAATCACAAAAAAACTCATGTTTTAAGAAAGTTTATGAATTTGTGTTGGGTTGCATTCAATGCCATCCTGAGGCCAAGCATGGTGACTCATGCCTGTAATCCCAGCACTTTGGGAGGCCAAGGTGGGATCACCTGAGGTCAGGAGTTCGAGACCAGCCTGGCCAACATGGTGAAACCCCATGTCTACCAAAAATACAAAAAAATTAGCCAGGTGTGGTGACGGGCGCCTATAATCCCAGCTACTAGGGAGGCTGAGGCAGAGAATCACTTGAACCCAGGGGACAGAGGTTGCAGTGAGCCAAGATCACGCCACTTCACTCCAGCCTGGACGACAGAGCAAAACTCCGTCTCAAAATAAACAACAACAACCAAAAAACAGAGCCGTCCCGGGCTGCAGGTTGGACAAGTTTGGTCTTGACACATCCGGTCCACCATGGCTCCTGCCAGCACTGAGAAGCAGCCCTCTCAGTTACCCTCAGAGGCCTCAGGACTCCTGGGAGCCCGCGTGGGCCAGCCCGTCTTCCTGGCCCTCGGGTGCCAAATGAGGTATGGCTGCCTCCAGCCTCAGCGGCCAGAAACCGAGGCGGAACAGAGCCCAGGGGCGGGTCTGTGGGCGGACTCCCCACCCTACTGGCTTTAGGAGGGATGCCTTGCAGCTCTGTGCCACCTGCAGCTCTGTGCCACCTGCAGCTCTGTGCCACCTGCTCCTCACCCACTTGCCAGAGCAGGCTCAGTCTGATGAGGCCTGGTGGCCGCCTGTCCTATGCCAAGCCCTGTGCTTGTTCCAGGCCTTGTCTTCGAGCTGATGACAGAGGTGTGGGAGAGGCAGGGTGCACGGGGGATTCAGCCTCGGACAGAAGGAGTTCAGGCTGGAAACTCAGGGCGTCCCGGAGGAGCCAATGCTGTTCTGAGAGATGACAGAGCGGGGGTGAGAGGAAGGCACGGAAGGCATGGAAGCCAGATGCTTCACCCACCCGCAACGTGGCTGGGGCAGGAGCAAAGGGACACTGAGGCTAAAGATCAGGCCGAGATGGCAGGCGTCCTGAGCTCCGGGTCCTGGAAGGGAGGCCACTTCTGGTAGGGGTAATCAGGAATGGCTTCCTGGAGGAGGTGGGTTTTGGGTCGTCTTGGGCTGACCTTGGATAGGGGATGCATTCCAGGTAGGCACTGGGAAGGGGAGGTCTAAGCCCGGACTCTAGCTTGGGGGAGTCAGCACAGGCAGTGGGAGAGTGGGCATTGCCTGGAGGAGCAGGGAGGGGGCAGGTGGCTCACCAGGAGGCCTCAGCTGAAACCTGAGAAGCTTCCAGGCAGAGATAATGCGAATCCCAGCTGCGCTGGCTCCGGAGAGGAAAAGAAGCCAGATGGCCCTTGTGCCTTATGTCCAGGTCGGAGCAGAAGGCTGGGCCTGCCGTGGGCCCTTGGCTGAGGGGAGTAGTCCATCCCGCTGGGTTTTTTTTTTTTTTTTGAGACAGAGTCTCGCTCTGTTGCCAGGCTGAAGTGCAGTGGTGCAATCTCGACTCATTGCAACCTCTGCCTCCCAGGTTCAAGTGATTCTTCTGCCTCAGCCTCCAGAGCAGCTGGGACTACAGGCGTGCACCACCACACCCAGCTAATTTTTGTATTTTTAGAGAGACGGGGTTTCACTGTGTTAGCCAGGATGGTCTCAATCTCCTGACCTTGTGATCTGCCCGCCTCGGCCTCCCAAAGTGCTGGGATTACAGTCAAGAGCCACCGTGTCCAGGCTCCCCACTGGGGTTTTTAAAGAGATGGCAGAAGCCCACGTTTTTCATCCCTCGTGGTCTCACATGAACTCTCTCCCAGTCCGGGATCTGGACACAGCAAAGTACAAAGCAGCGTCTCCGAGAAATGCTAACCTCTCTCCCAGGCCTCTCCTCCTACCTGCATAGCCTGGGGGACACGGATCCTAAATGGAGTCCATCAGCTCCTCTGACCCACCCCCAGCCCACGTGCTATCTATCTCCCGCCGTGCAATTCCAAACCAGGAGCTGGAGCCCCACATCCTAGCCAGGGCGGCCTCTGCCTTCCTCACAGCATCGGGTCCAGCCATTTGTCACCTATTACTGTTAGTTATTGTCACCTATTATTGAGAGTGCCTGGGGTTGAAAGGTTAGAAACAACACACTGTAGCCCCCTGGGGGACCGCATAGCTGCGGGCGGTGCCCCCAGGGAAAGGCATGGCCAGCTTCCAGCAGGTCAGCCACCAGCAAAGGGAGGCCTCCGCCAGGGGAAGCCACAGGACCTGATCCAGTCTGGTCTGTGTATGATGCTGAGGCGGGGGCTGTTCGGGTACCTGAACAGAGCTGAGCCAGTTAAAACAAACCCTCCGCCCACCCCACCCACAAGAAAGTAACTATTTCAAAGTCACAGCGCCAGGCCGGCGAACACACAGTCTTGGGTCCAAGTCTTGCCAGGTACGTTTTCTCTTCTGGGATCTCTCTGAAAAGTTATTTATCTATCACAGTGGGGATGGAGGGCACTCAGTCCAAAACCAGACATCACCTTGGCCCGGAGCGGATGCCAGCGGAAGGACTGTGTTGTGCTGTCTTCAAAGTCCCACGTGGCCAGAGGAATGATCACTTCTCCAAGAAACACTCTCCGGGCCAGCGTGCCCAGATGCCACACCGAGACCTGCAGCTGCCGGGTCACCAGCTGGGCAGGGGCCACCTGATACTGCAGAGGCAAGGAAGAGATGGTCAGCTGGGCTCCCGGGGCCCGCACTCCTAGGATCCCCATCTCTGGACCCCACCTTCCAGGGCCCCACTTCCCGGGGCCTGGCGCAGGCCTCCCTCCCACAGGCTGAGTCCAAGATGCGGATGCAGCCAGGGACCTGATGTGGTTAGGGTGGGTCAAGGTGCTTACAGCCAGGGTGGGGCGGGGGGGTCCTCTCTCTGCTCAAGAACCCCTCCCCCTACTCCCCAGGTGCCCAGTGCTCTGCCTGGGGACAGGCAAGGGTAGCCCTGGTAGCCTCCCACCCCCAATTCCTAGAACAAGACAAGGATGAAAGTCCTTGTCCAGCTCACGCCTACTAGAAATCAAGCCAAAGTCTATGCTCGCACAGGATTTGAACTTGCATCTAAACACTGCACCCAGCCAGGCTTGGCCAAAAATAATGATAACAGGCCCAAAAATACTAAAAAAAAAAAAAAAAAAAAAAAAAAAAATTTTTTTTTGAGACAGGATCTCGCTCTGTCACCAGGCTGGAGTGCAGTGGCACGATCTTGGCTCACTGCAACCTCTGCCTCCTGGGTTCAAGCGATTCTCCTGCCTTAGCCTCCTGAGTAGCTGGGACTATAGACGCCCAACACCACGCCCGGCTTGTTTTTTTGTATTTTTAGTAGAGACAGGGTTTCACCACGTTGGCCAGGTTGGTCTCGAACTCCTGACCTCAAATGACCCACCTGCCTCGGCCTCCCAAATTGCTGGGATTACAGGCGTGAGCCACTGCACCAGCCTGCATTTATTTATTTATTTTTTAAAGCAAAGCATGAACTCCCCCCTCCTCCATTCCCCGCAACACCACGTGTTTGCCCTGGAGGGACGGTGCCTGTGCTCAGGCATGCAGGGCCTGTGCTGGCTTGGCAGAGGCCAACACGATGTTCTTACTGTCCACACAGGGGGCTCCCAACACACCCAAGAGTGACGAGGGAACCCATTCCCCAGCCAAGCATGGGTTCTGCCCCATAGAGACTAGAGGCCGAAGGCCCCTCAGTGGCACCCAGCCCTTCCCAAGGTGTGGCTGACTCCACCTCAGCCTCTGAGGGCCTCACTTTAAGCTTATTAGTTGGATTTTCTCAATAATGAACAAACCCTACAAGTTATTGAACACTTATTTATTTCACACCAGGCTTTCTAGATGCATTGATCTTTTTAGCTTTCACACGCACCCTATGAGGTCAGTATAATTCAAACCATGTTGCAGGTGAAAAAAAAGCAGCTTGGAAATTCAGTGACCCTCCCTCCCTTGGTCTGGTAGCCGACACTGCAGGCCAGATTCACGTGCACTGACTGTGTCCAGGCCCGAGTCTCGCTGCTGACCTCTGTGGCCCATGCTGCCCCCACTCCGGCGCTTGTTTGGGGTTTGAATGGTGACTCCTCGTGACACGGCTGTTGCTGTGAGGCTGGACACTTGCACCCATTTGCAGCAGCTGTGCGGTTTGTTTGCTTTGGGGTTCATCTCCTCATGCCCACCTTTACCCATCTTTCCAATCGAGGAACGAGATGGAATAAAACAGGAACTGAGACACGGTAATTTCCCTCCTTCAGCCTCTGCAAACAGAGGGGAGGCGCAGCAGGGCCGTCCCCTGCTCTGTTGGGGGCTGCCTGTAGGCTCTGTCCACACTTCTGATGTCTGCGGGCCAGGCACAAATGGCTTGGCTGGCCAGGTTAGCTTCCTCAGTTCATTCCTCCTTTTCCTCCCCGCTGGGGTGGCTTGTGGCCATGGAGATGGGCATTTCTTGGGTCACATTCCCTTTTCTCCTGCCTTTGGGTAACTTTTAGCCAGTTTTCCCTCAAGTCTATGGGTCCATATCTTTTTTGGGGGGACAGGATCTCACTCTGTCACCTAGACTGGAGTGCAGCAGTGCCATCTCAGCTCACTGCAGCCTGCACCTCCCAGGCTCAAGCGATCCTCCCACCTCAGCTTCCCAAGTAGTTGGGACTACAGGTAGGCGTCGCCATGCCCGGCTAATCTTTTAATTTCTTGTAGAGATGGGGTCTCTCTACATTGCCCAGGCTGGTCTCGAACTCCTGGGCTCAAGCCCTCCACCCGTCTCAGCCTCTCAAAGTTCTGGGATTACAAGCGTGAGCCTCCACACCCAGCCCATGGGTCCATTTCCGACTCTGCCCCACATTCAATCTCTGTCTATAAACTCTGGATTGATGTGATTATTCCCCATATTCCAGCTACACTCCTTATCAGTTAGTCCAGGCAGCTGGCCAGCTGCATCTGCTGCCCTCTGAGAAATGAAGCGGTTACTAGAACGCCACGCCACTTAGCAGGGTCGGGCTCGGGCCCCCAGGCAGCTCTCTCATCTCCAGCTGTGTGTGGGCGACGCTCAGCCACTTCTCCTGGGTCCTTACCCATTGCTCGCCCCTTTCTGTCAATAGGACTACTCCCTGCTACATACAGAATCTACCTTTGCTTTGTTTTGTTTTGTTTGTTGAGACGGAGTCTCGCTCTGTCGCCCAGGCTGGAGTGCAGTGGTGTGATCTCAGCTCACTGCAAGCTCCGCCTTCCAGGTTCACGCCATTCTCCTGCCTCAGCCTCCCGAGTAGCTGGGACTACAGGTGCCCGCCACTGTGCCCAGCTAATTTTTTGTATTTTTAGTAGAGACGGGGTTTCACCGTGTTAGCCAAGATGGTCTCGATCTCCTGACCTCATGATCCGCCTGCCTCGGCCTCCCAAAGTGCTGGGATTACAGGCGTGAGCCACCACACCCAGCCTAGAATCTACCTTTTCAAACCAGACCTATTTTCCATAGCCCTGTTAGGTCCACAAGGCTTGCTCCAGGCTCAGCTGGGAATGAGGTGTAAGGATCATTTGAGAGCAGGGCCAGGCAATGACCAATGTCACCCAGTGAGATCACTTCATCCTCTCCAGGCCCCCAGGACAGTGGTGTCAAATGGGGTACAAGTCTCCCTGGGTCCAGAAAGGCTTGCCAAGAAGTACTCTGCTCAGAAAAATTTGAGGATCAATTTCTAGATCCTCGCATTTGATGTGCACTTCTCTCAAAACTGGCTGGAGACAGTTCTCACAGCCTCATCCACCTGAATCGTACTCTGATGGCTCACCTCAGGTCGCACAAAGCCTGGGTGCTGCACAAAGGTGTGATTGTGATTGGAAATACTGGCTTCTAGCGAGACTTTTAATGCTGGATCGGCCTCCCCGGCTTCCCATCCTTCGCATCTTATGCATATTTCTATTAAGGATGAGGCTGGCCGGTGTTGGGTTATTTTGCATTTAGGATCAATTAGAGATGCCGATTATTTTAATTGTAACTGGAAAGTTTCCCAGGACTATAAAATATTCACAATATACTAGATAAGACCCATGGATAAAAATTTTAAGTGATATCTTTGAGATTCTGTGTACATTTTAAGGTAGGTAACCTTTTAACTCCAATTATATAACTACATTTTTTTTTTTTTTTTTGAGACGGAGTCTCGCTCTGTCACCCAGGCTGGAGTGTAGTGGCGCTATCTCGGCTCACTGCAAGCTCTGCCTCCCGGGTTCACGCCATTCTCCTGCCTCAGTCTCCCAAGTAGCTGGGACTACAGGCGCCCGCCACCACGCCCGGCTAATTTTTTGTATTTTTAGTAGAGACGGGGTTTCACCATGTTAGCCAGGATGGTCTCGATCTCCTGACCTCATGATCCACCCGCCTCAGCCTCCCAAGGTGCTGGGATTACAGGCGTGAGCCACCGCGCCCGGCCCAGAATCTGCATTTTAAAAAAATCCCCAGTTCTAAGTACAGGGGCATCTTAGAAAATAAGAAATTTAGGCCTGGCGTGGTGGCTCAAGCCTGTAATCTCAGCATTTGGGAGGCCGGGGTGGGCAGATTACCTGGGGTCAGGAGTTCAAGACCAGCCTGGTCAACATGGTGAAACCCCATCTGTACTAAAAACACAAAAAATTTGCTGGCCATCGTGGTGGGTACCTTTAATCCCAGCTACTCAGGAGGCTGAGGCAGGAGAATCGCTTGAACCTGGGAGGTGGAGGTTGCAGTGAGCCAAGATCATGTCACTGCACTCCAGCCTGGGCGACCAAGAGTGAAACTCCATCTCAAAAAAAAAAAAAAAAAAAAGAAAAGAAGAAATGTTTTAAAAATGTAAATCCCCATGGGATTTTACGCACACAAATTTTGAGAACTGCCAGTCCTTTGTGGCTTTGAGCTGTATTTCTAAGGACTCTCTAGGTCTCAGTTTCCCCGTGGGTAAATGAGGATTCTAATAATTACCCCAGGCTGTATATAAAGCACTTGGCCACAGTAGGGACCCAGGAAACAAGGGCTATTATTATTTAATGAACTCAGGGCTCTGTGCCAGCTGCCCAGATGGCCCCTGGCTGGCAGCTCACAGACACCCCCTACTTGCCAAGAAAGGCAAACAAAGCCCTCTCCTGTCATAGGCATGAGACGAGGGGACCTCTGGCTGCCCAGCCCCGGCAGGGTAGCCTCTGCAGCTCTGGGCTACCCCCCTCACCCTGCACCAAGATTGGGGCCACCACAGCCAGCTCTCTGCAGATACCAGACCTCAGCTGCAGCCTTCCACCCGACATCAGAGCGCATGGCCCCATCTCTGCCCTCAACCATCAATCACATTTCCTAGTATCATAGAAAGTGAAAACCCAAACAATTCCTTTGTAAGATTTTTCATAAAAGGATTCATTTAAAAAAAATAAAATTAGAAGAAACCTGAGTTTGTCAGAAATACAATAAAGGGGCACTTTTACAAAGACAGTAACTCAGGAGTTTAATTTTCAGGGCACTCTGTCTGAGAGCACCTCTTTGACAGAAACATTCACTAAGACAAACTAATGTTTAAAATTATCCTGTGCCCCGGTGTTAGCCCGAGACAAAGAGGCAGCCAGGTTCTTTTTCACCATCTTCTCAGAAATCATTAATCAAAAGCCATTCCTGAGTCTGGCAGACTCTGCACTTTTCCTGTACAAAGGCTGACATTTATTTTCTACCAACTTAACACTGATTGACAGAGCTGCGAAGAAACATATAGGTGTCTGTATTATATCTAACTGAGTCAAGAGTTTGAAAGCACCATCCACTGGACTCTGCCCCAGGCGCTCCACCCGGGCTCGGGAGGACTCTGCACAGGAATATCTGTCCAGCAAGTACCTTCAAGGTCTCCTGAAAGGTCGGGTCCACGGTGTTCCTTTGGACTCCAGTCTTGCGCTTTCCCTGGGAGGATCTGTCGGGCAACAGGTAGGTCTTCACATACCTAGGGGCCAAACACAGCGGGGACAGAGTGAGAACTCAGGGAAAGGGGTGGATAAAGAGTTTGGGGGCAGCAGAGAACCCACATGCCAGCGTTTTCTTTACCAGGCTTCCTGCTGGAATTTTTGGGTTGATAGAAAGGACTTAATAGCCTAATAGTGAGCAACGTTAGTGCTGGGTGGGCAGCTTCTGATCCATGCAGTCTATGGTCAAATGCTAGCCACATAACCCTCTGGAATATTCCTGGGGGTGTGAAGCTCGTCCTGCCTTCCTCAGGCCCTACTCCATTTGGCGAAGACCATGGAACTAGAGATTCTCTCGCCTGCCTGGATGTCAAGGCCATGAGCCGGATTCCCGTCCCTTCTGCCACCCACCACCTGCAAAAGAAAAAAAAGTGGAAGTAGAAAGCATATGCCTCGCACTGTGCTGTTTCCTTGCAGGGGCCTCAAAGACTCTGCTCCTCCCAACCGCTGAGAAGTGGGATTCTGCTGAGTCTAGAGGTCGCACGCAGCATGACAGATGTCTCCATCTGCACTCACCCAGCCCCTGAAATCCAGGCGGAGAGGAAGACATGTCCTGTCCTGTTCTAGGCTGACCCCTCCATACAGGCCCCTACGCTGCCCTTCATGGCTCCTCTGGCAGCCCCAGTGATGGCAATGACCCCCCAACCAGCAGCAGCCCAAGCCCCCTCTCCACAGGCTAGAAACAGGCTCTACTTTCCAAAGTAAAAAATCACAGTGAGCCTCCTCTATCTGTGCCCTTCTTTAGCCCCAGTCTTGGGTCTCTTCTTCCCCCTAGGTTAAGCTTTTTGTGAAAATACTCGAAATCGGCCAGGAGGCCAGGCGCAGAAGCTCACAACTATAATCCCAGCACTTTGGGAGGATGAAGTGGACGGATCACCTGAGGTCAGGAGTTCCAGACCAGCCTGGCCAGCATGGTGAAACCCTGTCTCTACTAAAAATACAAAAATTAGCCAGGCATGATGGCATGTACCTGTAATCCCAGCTACTCAGGAGGCTGAGGCAGGAGAATCGCTTGTACCTGGGAGATGGAGGTTGCAGTGAGCCGAGATCGCGCCACTGCACTCCAGCCTGGGCAATAAAGCGAAATTCCATCTCAAAAAAGAAAAACAAAACAACCCAAAAACTGGCCAGGCACCTGGCTCAGGGAGGATTCCATAAGCCAGGAATTTGAGACCAGCGTGGGCAATACACAGGGAGAACTCATCTCCACGAAAAATTTAAAAGTCAACTGGGTGTGGTGGTGTGCACCTGTAGTCCCAGCTACTCGACGCCCGAAGTTGGAGGATCACCTGAGCCCAGGAGGTCAAGGCTGAAGTGAGCCATGATAACATCACTGCATTCCAGCCTAGACGGCAAAGCAAGACTCTGTCTCAAAAAATCAAACCAAAACAAAAAATCCCTCAAAACTCCATCTCTAATTCTTCACAGTTCATTTACTCTTAAGTTACTGAGCATTACACATTCATGCAATCTCAAATATGTAAAACAGAATATATAAAATATACCTATACGGTTGGAAGCATTATAATAAAGTGCACACCCATGTACCCCTGCCCCCCAGCTTAGGAAACAGAACATAACCAGTGACTTCCCTATCACAGTCCTGCCCGTAACCAGGTAATAACCACGTTGGATTTTATATTTATCACCCCCTTGGTTTTCTTTATGGTTTCACCATTTTGATGTGTCTCCTTAAACAATGTACTGCTTAGTTTTCCCTGTTTTTGAACTTTTATATAAATGGGATCATTCTGTATACATTCTTCCATAATTTGCTTTTTTTCACTCAATATTATGTTTGGGATTCATCTATGTTGCTGTAACTGCCGCTCATTCATCTCTAATCCTACGTATCATTCCACTGAATGAATACACAAGTCATTTATCCTGTTGATGAACATTTGTCTTATGTCCTAGTTTTTCCCTCTGCTCATGGTGCACATGTGCAAGCACTTCTCTTGGCATATAACCAGGAGTGATAGGGTATATGCCCCTTCAACTCTTCTAGATGATGCCAAATTACCAATTCAATCTCTTTAACAGATATAGAGTTATTCAGGTTTTCTATTTCATTTCATGTCAGTTTTGGCAATTTGTGTCTCTTGAGAATGTGTCGATTTCAGCCAGGTGTGGTGGCTCATGCCTGTAATCCCAGCATTTTGGGAGGCCAAGGCGGAAGGATTGCATGAGCCCAGGAGTTTGAGACCAGCTTGGGCAACATAGTGGGACCTCATCACTACTGAAAATTTTTTTTAATTGGCTGGGCACGGTGGTGTGCACCTGTGATCCCAGCTACTTGGGAGGCTAAGGCAGTAGGACCAGTTGAGCTCAGGAGTTTGAGACCAGCCTGGGCAACATAGTGAGACCTCATTTCTTAAAAAAAAAAAAAAAAAAAAAAAAAGAGAGAAAGAAAAGAAGGTGTTCATTTCATCTAAGCTGTTAAATTTATTAGCACAAAGTTTTACATAATATCCCCTTATTATATATTTTTTTCTTTCTTTTTTTTTTTTTTTTTTTTCAGACAGAGTCTCACTTGGTTGCCCAGGCTGGAGTACAGTGGCACAATCTTAGCTCACAATCACAGCCCTCCTGGGCTGAGGTGATTCTCCCACCTCAGCCTCCCAAGTAGCTGGGACTACAGGTGTGTGCCACCACACCTGGCTAATTTTTATTTATTATTTAATGAGAGGGAGTCTCACTCTGTCACCCAGGCTGGAGTGCAGTGGCATGATCTTGGCTCACTGCAACCTCTGCCTCCTGGGTTCAAACAATTCTCCTGCCTCAGCCTCCTGTGTAGCTGGGATTACAGGCACATGCCACCATGCCTGGCTAATTTTCTCTGTATTTTTAGTAGAGACGGGGTTTCACCATGTTGGCAAGGCTGGTCTTGAACTCCTGACCCTCAGGTGATCCACCCTTCTCGGCTTCCCAAAGTGCTGGGCTTGCAGCCATGAGCCCCCAGCCTGACCCCCTTATTATACTTGAATGTCTGCAAGTGCTGTCATGTTGTCTCTTCTTTCATTCCTATACTGGTATTTGAGTATTCTCTATTTTTTTTTTTTTCAGGCGGAGTTTTGCTCTTGTTGCCCAGGCTGGAGTGCAATGGTGTGACCTCAGCTCACTGCAACGTCTACCTCCCTGGTTCAAGGGATTCTCCTGCCTCAGCCTCCCTAGTAGCTGGGATTACAGGTGCCTGCCACCATGCCCGGCTAATTTTTGTATTTTTAGTAAAGATGGGGTTTCACCATGTTGGCCAGGCTGGTCTCAAACTCCTGACCTCAGGTGATTCACCTGCCTTGGCCTCCCAGAGTGCTGGGATTATAGTTGTGAGCCACAGCACCCAGCCTTTTTCTAGCATTTTAAGGTGGAGGTTTAAATAATTCATTTTAAGTCTTTTTCTTTTAAATATAAGCACTGCTTTAACTGCATTCCTCAAATTTTGAAATTTAAAAGTCAGGAAATACTTTTGGGGCAAAGACTATTCCAGTTTTCCTGAGGTAGACGGTACAGGAAGAGTAATAATAAAAGCTAAGACTAGAACAATAGGAGAGATTCTGTTACGAAGGAACCACAAGTGCTATAGAAATGTGTACTTAATTTGTCTGGTACTAAAGAGCTACTAAAAATTTCAGAGCAGAAGAGAGTTTGATTAAATCAACAATTGATTTCTTTTCCCATCATCACTCTTTAGCTGGTAATTAAAACAGTATGCCAGAAGTTCCCCATGTAAGAAAAAAGAAAGGCAAAACTGAGGCCCCTGCCTTAAACTATATATAGAAAATCAATTCCGCTTGTAATGTGAACAGATCTAAGTGTGGGGAAAAAAAAAAAAAAACGATAAGAAGAAACCAGAGAACGTATTTAAACCCTTGGGTGCCACAGGAATTCTTCTACAGACACAAAAAGCAGAGAGTTTAAAGGAAAAGCTTGATACATTTGATATTAAACTTTCTACAAGAAAAGTCATAATAAACAAGTTAGAAAACAAGTTACAGCTAGGATGGATAAAATACGTACAATACATATAACTAATAAATAATTTTTAAACCTATTTAAATTAGGTTTAACAAAAAGCCTCTGGTAAATAAATAAAACAATAAACAATCCAATAGAAAAATGGGAGGCCAGGTGCAGTGGCTCATGGCTGTAATCCCAGAGCTTTGGGAGGCTGAGGTGTGAGGATGGCTTGAGCCCAGGAGTTTGAGACCAGCCTTGGCAACAGAACAAAACCCTGTCTCTACAAAAATAAGTTAAAAAATCTAGCTGGAAAAAAAAAGTTACAAATTTAGCCTCCTACATAGCTGAGACTACAAGCATGTGCCTCCCAACTACTCAGGAGGCTGAGGCAGGGAGATGGCTTGAGCCTGCAGTGAACTGTGATCGTGCCATTGCACTCCACTCCTGTAGTCCCAGCTACTCAGGAGGCTGAAGTGAGAGGATTCCTTGAGCCTACTAGGACTTTGAGGCTGCAGTGAGCTATAGTGGCACCACTGCACTCCAAGCTGGGTGACAAAGCAAGAAAGACCCTGTCTCTTAAAAAAAAATTAATTTTAATTAATTAAATTTTTAAAAAGAAAAATGGGCAAAAGATATGAATAGAAAACTCACAAAAGAATAAGCCTGGCCAGGCACAGTGGTTCATGCCTGTAATCCCAGCACTCTGGGAGGCCAAGGCGGGTGGATCACTTTAGGTCAGGAGTTCAAGACCAGCCTGGCCAACACGGGGAAACCCCGTCTCTACTAAAGATACAAAAATTAGCCAGGTGTGGTGGCGGGCACCTGTAATCCCAGCTACTCAGGAGGCTGAGGCAGGAGAATTGCTTGAACCCAGGAGGCAGAGGTTGCAGTGAGCTGACATCGTGCCAATACACTCCAGCCTGGGCAACAGAGCAAGACTCCGTCTCAAAAAAACAAAATAAAATAAACCTAAGTGGCAAATGCATATATAAAAAGTGGCTCAAAAGGCTGGGCTCACACCTGTAATCTCAGCATTTTGGGAGGCTGAGGTGGGAGAACTGCTTGAGTCTGAGAGTTCAAGATCAGGTTGAGCAACATAGTGAGACCCTGTCTCTATTTTTTTTTTTTTAAAACAAGTTGCTCATCTTTGTTAGTAATAAGGGAAATGCACATTAAAATAATAGTGCTGGCCGGGTGTGGTGGCTCATGCCTGTAATCCCAGCACTTTGGGAGGCCAAGGTGGGTGGATCACGAGGTCAGGAATTCGAGACCAGCCTGGCCAATATGGTGAAACCCCGTCTCTACTAAAAATACAAAAATTAGCTGGGCGTGGTGGTGCACGCCTGTAGTCCCAGATGCTCAGGAGACTGAGGCAGGAGAATCACTTGAACCCGGGAGGCGGAGGTTGCAGTGAGCCGAGATTGCGCCACCGCACTCCAGTCTGGGTGACAGAGCAAGACTCCACCTCAAAATAATAATAATAATAATAATATTATTATTATTATTATTATAATGGTGCTACACCTTTTCATGTCTGTCAGTGAGAATAACATTTTAAATCTCTTTATGGATTGTGTGAATCAAGATTTTAATTTTGTATTTCCTGCGTGGAAAGCCAAATTTTTCAACATCATTTATTGAAGTCCACTTTTCCCCACTGATCTGTAATAGCTCCACAACTGAATGTTTATGTCCACCTCGCTCACCAATTCATAGTTGAAGCCTGACCTACAATGTGATGGTATTAGGAGGTAGGGTCTCTGGGAAGTGATTAGGTCATGAGGGTGCAGCCCTCATGAACAAGATTAGTGCCCTCATAAAAGAGGCCCGAAGAGAGCTGCCTTGTCCCTTCTACCATGGGAGGACACAAGAAAACAGTCATCTAAGAACCAGAAAGGGGGCCCTCACTAGATACCAAATCTACCAGCACCTTGAGCTTCGACTTCCCAGCCTCCAGAACTGTGAGATATGTATTTGTCTTGTTTATAAGCCACCTGGTCTATGGTATTCTGTCACAGCAGCCGAAATGGACTAAGACACTCCTTGATCATGTAAGTTTTCATATACGCTAAGGTCTGTATCTGGACTTTTGATTCTACTTTCCTGACTTGTTCTGTCCTTGTATCAATAACACATTGTTTGCATTGCTACAGCTTTATAATAATACTTGAAGTAAGCCTTTTCATTTTGTTTTTTTTTTTAATAATTGTCTTGGTTATTCTTAGACTTTTACTTTTTCATATACATTTTGGAATCAATATGTCTCATGTTAAACTTAAAAAAAACAACTTACGGATTGCACTTTTTCTTCTTTTCTTCTCCATAGGCAAGGTTCTTACAGGCCTTGATGCATATTTCTAAAGAATGGGTTTTGAAGCAATAATGAATGGCAAATTCTATTTCTCCAGTGACATTAGCATTGTCAAAATTGCCCATCTCTGTACAGGTGCTGTCAATGCTAATTAAACTTCCCTGAAATCAAGAATAACAGATATAATAAGTTACTTCAGTTAATTCACTTTTTTGATGTTCTGGTTTCAAGACAGCACATAAATAAAAACTCATACAGCATGTATCCTGACTCACATCAAGTTAATAATGCACCAGCTTGTACTTTGCCAAAATAAGTTGCCACATGTTCTATCTCAAGGAGACAGAGAATCCTCAGAAGGCCCTCTCTTGCCTAGATACAGTTTTTGCCTAGCAATAAA
The DNA here is from genome assembly GCF_000001405.40 of Homo sapiens. Taxonomy (NCBI): domain Eukaryota; kingdom Metazoa; phylum Chordata; class Mammalia; order Primates; family Hominidae; genus Homo; species Homo sapiens. The sequence continues at coordinate 158,745,240 of NC_000006.12, read as the reverse complement.
TGTTACACGATCTCATTCTTTAACACAAATTGCTTGGGGCGAAATGGACTAGCTCCTATGCAATTCTGCAAGATCACTCCCAGGAGGCCAAGATAATATCCATGGCAGGACAGCTATGCGGAAAGCGGCACAGTCTGGGGCTAAGTGGCTGCGACTGGGAATCAGATAGACCTGGACTCAAATGCTAGTGCTGCCACTCATTAGCTGTGGCAAAGTCTAACTGGAAAAAACCATACTGATCTCACAGGGCTATGGTGAGGAATAAATAGAATAAAGCAAGTAAAGTGTGCACCCAATGGTAACAGTAAATTGTATCTGAATTTTTCTGGTTACCTAAAATGAAAAATAAAACTATCATCACAGTCTAGGGTACTCCAAGCTTATACGATGTAGATAAGGAGAGGCTAATGAATGTTATTAATTAGCACAAAATTCCTGGGCCTAAAAGATACAATCAGCTACCTTATCACTATTAAACGTGCTTAAATACTTTGCATGCAACCAATCTCTGTGCTGCCTTTTTATAGGAAGACAAGCCTAACTGATTTCTACTTCGAATTCCCAACTAGCTCCTCCACACTATAAAACATCTTGAAAAGAAACTAAGAAACAAGCATGGGAGTGCCGGGTGCAGTGGCTCACGCCTGTAATCCCAGCACTTCGGGAGGCCGAGGCAGGCAGATCACAAGGTCAGGAGATCGAGACCATCCTGGCTAACAAGGTGAAACCCCATCTCTACTAAAAATACAAAAAAAGAAAAAAAAAATTAGCCAGGCATGGTGGCGTCCCAGCTATAGTCCCAGCTACTCCGGAGGCTGAGGCAGGAGAATGGCGTGAACCCAGGAGGCGGAGCTTGCAGTGAGTGGAAAGTGCCCCACTGCACTCCAGTCTGGGCGACTGAGCAAGACTCCGTCTCAAAAAAAAAAAAAAAAAAAAGAAAGAAAAAGAAAAAAAAAACAAGCCTGGGGGCAGAAAGTCAGAACCACAAGGGAAAGATAAAATAGAAAAAAAAAACAGCAACTGAGACCAGGCGTGGTGGCTCACCCTTGTAATCCCAGCACTTTGGGAGGCCAAGGAGGGTGGATCACTGGAGGTCAGGAGTTCGAGACCAGCCTGGCCAACATGGTGAAACCCCGTCTCTACTAAAATACAAAAATTAGCCAGGCAAGTGGCGCGTACCTGTAATCCCAGCTACTTGGGAGGCTGAGGCATAAGAATTGCTTTAACCTGGGAGGCAGAGGTTGCAGTGAACTGAGATTGTACCACTGCACTCCAGCCTGGGCGACAGAGTGAGGCCCCATCTCAAAACAAACAAACAAACAATAAACAATACCAACAAGTCATCAGACAGGCTGGAACCTGAACTGATGAATGCTAAGAACAAAACAAGCTTCACCACATCCAGTCACTGGCTCTGAAAAATCTCACCTGTCAACACCATTCCACTGTTAAAATGGAAAACAATGTAAAATTTTTACACACTCAAAAAGGCACAGGCCGGGCACAGTGGCTCATGCCTGTAATCCCAGCACTTTGGGAGGCAGAGGCAGGCGGATCACTTGAAGTCAGGAGTTTGAGACCAGCCTGGCCAACATGGTAAAACCCCATCTCTACCAAAAAAAAAAAAAAAAAAAAAAAAAAAGCTTGGACTGGTGCACCAGCATGAGTGAGTGAGGTATGAGAAGTGAAGATAGAAGAGAATGGACAGAGGAGCTTGGCAAAAGGTGTGAGCAGCCTGAGAGAAGAACCAGGTAGATGAACGGAGAAGCTAATGAATCATACAGCATTTGTCATGGGACTCAGCTTCAGGCTATGTCAGACTAAATGGTGTTACACACACTTTTCTGCTGAGAACAATTAGAAAGCTGAATTAAACAACTAAACTATTTCAAGAGATTGTAGAGCTGCCAAGACCACCAGGATGCAAGGGGCCAAGATGCTGAAGAGAAGCACATGGAAGTAAGCCTGACATCCGGAGCTGCCTTTCACTTCAAGGCATAAGTCCCTGTGTAAGCAACACAGGACTTGATTCTATCCTACTGACCTGCTTGACTCTCCTTGCATCAGGAGCACATTGAATCACTACCGCTGCACGTCCAAGGGCTGGACGGCCAAGATGTCAATCAAAATGAAATGGCAAAGAGACTCAGAAGCTCAGCAGAGTTTTCAGCAGTCTAACGGGACTGGGGGGCAAAATCAGCATTCAAGGCTACGAAGTCATGGGGAACCTGAGGAGCTAAGGTCCCAGAGACAGGGCAAATCCACGAGTACCGAGATGCTGCCTTTTCCTCAAGGCGTTTGCTGAACTGGAAGCTGTGGCTGAGGGGCCGAGAAGCTTAAGAATGTTTCCAGCTGGCTGGACGCAGTGGCTCACACCTGTAATCCCAGCACTTTGGGAGGCCGAGGCGGGCAGATCATGAGGTCAGGAGGTCAGCAGATCTAGACTATCCTGGCTAACACAGTGAAACCCCATATCTACTAAAAATAAAAAAATTAGCCGGGCATGGTAGCACACACCTGTAGTCCAGTCCCAGCTACTCAGGAGGCTGAGGCAGGATAATAGCTTGAATCCAGGAGGCGGAGGTTGTAGTGAGCCAAGATCACACCACTGCACTCCAGCTTGAGTGACAGAGCGAGACTCCATCTCAAAAAAAAAAAGCAAAAAAAAAAAAATGCTTCCAGCAGTTTCATCTTACTAGAGAGGAAAAAACTGGCCTTCAGGCTTATCACAGGGAAGGGGCTTGGTAAATATCCAGACCTTCAGCTGGGATCCTCCAAAGACTTCCTTACTAGGAGGAAGAGTCATCTGGAAATGGACCTGTCTTCATCAATGGAAACCCAGTTTTGAATCAGCTCAGCCTCAGACTAGATAAAGATTCTTTGCCTCCACTCTGTGTGTTAAGAGCAAAAGCAAATTCTCTATGAAGCATAATAAAAGTGCAAAAATAATTGCAGTTTTTGCATTGTTGGAATTTGCTATTTGATATTGGAATACATTCTTGAATAAATGTGGTTATGTTATACATCATTTTAATGGGCATTTCTCGCTTTATTTATTTTTTTGCTAATAATGGATTATTTGCTGTTTATGTTTATTTTAGACTATGGAAATGATGTTAGACAAAAAGCAAATTTGAGCAGTTTTCTTATTCGAGTTCAAAATGGATCATAAAGCAGCAAAGACAATCCGCAACATCCACAATGCATTTGGTCCAGCAAAACATACAGTGCAGTAGGGGCTCAAGAAATTTTGCAAAGGCAATGAGAATCTTGAAGATGAGGAGCGTAGTGGCGGCCATCGGAAGATGACAACAACCAATTGAGAGCAATCATCGAAGCTGCTCCCACAACTACACGAGAAGTTGCTGAATAACTCAACACTGACCATTCTATGATTGTTCAGCCTTGGAAGCAAATTGGAAAGGTGAAAAAGCTCGATAAGTGGGTGCCTCATGAGCTGAGTGAAAGTCAAAAAAATCATCATTTTGAAGGGTTGTCTTCTCTTATTCTGCACAACAACAAACCATTTCTCAATCAGATTGTGATGTGTGACAACAAGTAGATTTTATATGACAACCAGCAATGACCAGCTTAGTGGTTGGACTGAGAAGAAACTCCAAAGCACTTCCCAAAGCCAAACTTGCACCAAAGGTCCTGGTCACTGTTTGGTGGTCTGCTGTCAGTCTGATCCACCACAGTTTTCTGAATCCCAGCGAAACCATTACATCTGAGAAGTATGCTCAACAAATTGATGAGATGCACCAAAAATTGAAACGCCTGCAGCCAGCATTGATCAACAGAAGGAGCCCAATTCTTCTCCATGACAACGCCCTACTGCATGTCACACAACCAACAATTCAAAAGTTGAACAAGGCCAGACATGGTGGCTCACGCTTGTAGTCCCAGCACTTTGGGAGGCCAAGGCAGGTGGATCACCTGAGGTCAGGAGTTCGAGACCAGCTGGCCAACATGGTGAAACCCTGTCTCTACTAAAAACACAAAAATTAGCTGAGCGCGGTGGTGCACACCTGTGTAATCCCAGCTACTTGGGAGACTGAGGCAGGAGAATCACTTGAACCCAGGAGGCAGAAGTTGCAGTGAGCTGAGATGGCACCACTGCACTCCAGCCTGGGCAACAGAGCGAGACTCCATCTCAAAGCAAAAAACAAAAACAAAAGTTGAACAAATCAGGCTACAAAGTTTTGCCTCATCTGCCATATTCACTTGACCTCTTGCCAACAGACTACTACTTCTTCAAGCATTGTGAGAACTTTGTGCAGGGAAAACACAACCAGAAGGATGCAGAAAATGCTTTCCAAGAGTTCATTGAATCCCAAAGCACAGATTTTTATGGTACAGGAATAAACAAACTCATTTCTCTTTGGCAAAAATGTGTTGATTGTAATGGATCCTACTTTTATTAATAAAGATGTGTTTGAGCCAAGTTATAATTATATAAAATTCACGGTCCAACCACAAGGACTTTTCTAGCAACCTAATATTTTTGAATCTCAAATTATCCCAGTTTTTCATACTCAATGTCCAGCATTCAGTAAAAAATTGCCACGCATACCAGGACTAAAAAGTAAGCAAGTGTCCCAGTTTCCTTAGGACTAAGGAATTTCCTGGGATGCAAGACTTGAACTGCCAAAACCAGGCGAGTCCTGAGTAAACTGGGATGGTTGGTCATCCTAAGTCTAAGATCCAAGAGTAAGTGACCAAAAACAAAGAGGAAAAAATGCACAATAAAAATAGACTCATGGGTGATCCTGATACTGGCACTGAAAGATATAAACTTTAAAATAACTGTAACTAATATGGTCAAGAAAATATATGAAAAGAATATATTTCTCCAGAGAACCAGAATATATAATAAAGAATCAAATAGAAATTTCTCCAGAGGACTAGAATTTATAATAATTAATCAAATAGAAATTAAGGCCTTGGCTGGGCATGGTGGCTCACACCTGCAATCCCAACACTTTGGGAGACCGAAGCAGGCAGATCATCTGAGGTCAGGAATTTGAGACCAGCCTGGCCAACATGGTGAAACCTGAATCTACTAAAAATACAAAAATTAGCCTGGTGTGATGGTGCACACCTATAATCCCAGCTACTCAGGAGAATGAGGCAGGAGAATTGCTTGAACCCAGGAGGCAGATGTTGCAGTGAGCCGAGATCACACCACTGCCCTCCAGCCTAGGTGACAGAGTGAGACTTCAACTCAAAAAAAAAAAAAAAAAAAAGTAAGTTGCCTAAAAAGTAAGGCAACTGAAATGAAGAACTCCACAAATTAAATTAACATAAGATCAGACTAAGCTGAAGGGAGGATTGGTAAACTGGAAGATGGGTCAATGGAAAATATTTGGAGTGAAGCACAGAGGAGAAAAAATGAATGAAAAATAAAGAGTATAAGAGACATACAGGGCCAAATACCATGGTTCATGCCTGTAACCCCAGTGCTTTGGGAGGCCAAGGTGGGAGGACTGCTTGAGGCCAGGAGTTCATGACCAGTCTGCACAACATAGTGAGTGGGTGCTCCTGCTAAGCCCAAGAGTTCTGGGATGCAGTGAGCTAGGGCTGTGCCACTGCATTCCAGCCTGGGCAACAGAATGAGACCCCCATCTCAGAAAGATGGGAGAGGGAGAGAAAGAGACAGAGAGAGAGAGATAGAGGGAGAGAGACATACAGGACATAATGAAAAAGTATATGTTTGGACTCTCATATAGAGAAAAATCGGGCAGAAGCTATATTTGAAGAGATAATGGTTAAGAATTTCTAAAGACTAACAAGAGACAATAAACCACAGATTTAAGAGGAAAATATTTTTTAAAAAAACTATACATAGGTACATCATAATAACATTGCTTAAAATCAAAGACAAAGAGAAAATCTTAATGGTAGAGAAAAAAAGGATCTGTTACCTATGATGGAATCAACAGTAAGATTTAACCATTTTACTGCCCACCAGAAATGATAGAAGCCAGACTTGTTTAATCCAAAAAGAATGATGAAAAGAAGGTGGTAGAGACAGTAACACAGGAGAAAAAAGTAGTTACAATAAACTAGAACAGGTTACATACTACAAAAAAAGTCAATGACTGGATTTTTAAAAACATCTGACTGTGCTATTTAGATGAGACACAGCTGAAATATGAATGTACAGAAGGGCAGGAAGAGACGGCGCCTTCTTTTGCAGGGAGCCAGACAGGGAGGGCTGTGTGAGTGGGAGGGGAAAGGTGGGAATGCCAAGTGCAGACAACTAATAAAAGCTTAGCTGAGGGGCTAGGTGCAGTGGCTCACGCCTGTAATCCCAGCACTTTGGGAGGCCAAGGCAGGTGGATCGCTAGAGGTCAAGAGTTCAAGACCAGCCTGGCCAACATGGCGAAACCCTGTCTCCACTAAAAATACAAAAATTAGCTGGGCACGGTGGCACACACCTGTCATCTCAGCTACTTGGTAGGCTGAGGTGGGAGAATCACTTGAACCCAGGAGGTGGAGGTTGCAGTGAGCTGAGATAGCACCACTGTACTCCAGCCTGGGCAGCTGAGCGAGACTCTATCTCAAAACAAAACAAAATAAAAAGATTAGCTGAGGTGGGGAGAGAAAAGTGGTAGCTGGAGGGGAATGGAAGGTTTAGTGAAGGTGTTTTATTACAGGAGACTTGAATGTGTTTCAGGGTCCAGGTAAGTAGAGGCTGAATGCGTAAGAGAGAGGAAGGACAAGTAATAGAATAAGGAACAGAGAAGGCAGGGGAGGGCAGGATCCCAAGTATTGCTGCAGGCATCAGCTTCTTCTATTGCGGGTGGGGAAAGAAGAGTCACTTGGGTGCAAATGCGGTTGGTTAATTTTGCTATCAGGAGGATTGGGAAATTTCAAACTGATTCTTTTCTTTCTTGGTAGAGTAAAAAGGGAGATTTGAGAGTGAGGAGGAAGAGCAGGTTTGAAAAGACTGGAGGAGGTGTGAAATGTTTGTTGTGGAGAGCAAAAAAACTGTGTTAATCAGGCAAAGACATCAGGATTGCTGGGCAGTGCTGGGCACAGTGGACCTGGGAACACAACAGGGCAGACCTAATCTCCAGCATGCAGGCGTGAGTGTCCTGGGGTTAGGGCTGCCCTGCCATGCACTTTGCTCCTTGGGTGTGCAGCTGTTGGTGTGCAGGTAGAAAGAAAGGGCACAGCTGCGCTTGTCCAGGTTGGCACCCAGAATTATAAAGCATCCAGGAAGCATTGTCATTACTCATCATTTTATAAGTAGATAAACGAAGGTCAAGGCAGGTTGAGTCATGCCCCAAATTGCATCACACATCAGAAGCAGACCTGAAAGTGGACCAGGGCTCCTAAATCTCTGGGCCATAATGTATGCTCATGTCTCTGAGTAGTTCAACCGCTGTGTCTGCTGAGCAGGGACGGGGAGGATACACCCTCATAATGAAAGGAGAGCAGAGCACGTCCATCCATCAAATGCGTTCCTTCCCAGGCGACTCATGGCTCCACCACCATCGCCCTGGCAGGGCTCCTGGTTCTGCTCTCTCTGGAGCCAGAACAGAGCCTTTGAGCAGGTTACAAGTTGAATGCAGCAAATGGAGTCAACCAAAAGATTCTGGCCCAGAAGCGCAACCCAAAACTCAGCCTGACTTTTATTAAAGCCATTGGCACAGTCTGGGTTTGAAAGAAAGTCAATCTGGGTAACGGCAAAGGAAAAACTCAAGGCAGGCAGGGAGCCTTCTGCCAGTGACTTTCTCTGAAGGTCACAAATGTATCTCCTGTAACTGCAAGCTAAGTTTCATGCCCTTTTATTTCACAAGGGCAGAAAACTCAGAGTCAACTGAAGCCACAGCTAAATTAAAAATAATAAATCCTGATAAGAACACACTGAGAACATTTTTGCAAAGTGGTTAAGATGGTGAGTGATGAGGCCACACAGCAGCCTTCCAGTGCCTGGCCCTGACACTTAGTGGCTGTGTGATCTTGACCAATTATCTTACCCTCCAGAGCCTCAGCTTCCTCATCTGTAAAATGGGGATCTATTTCATAGGGTCATGGTGAAGTTCAATTAGTTAACACACGGAAAAAGACTTAGAACCATGCCTATGCATGGTAAGCTTAGTGATTATCAGCCTTTTAAAAATGCCACAAAATGTGGATGACCTTTGTAAGCTAAGCAAATCATTTGATTTTTCGTTGTTTTTTTTTTTTTTGCCATGAAATGTATAACAAAAGAGTACATATAACATATAGGATTAAACAATTATAAAATTAACATCCACATGCCCACTCTCAGCTTAAGAAAAATAACATCGCCAGGACTTCAGAAGTGCCCCAGAACTCCTCCTCCCTTATCAAATCCCCTCTCATTCCTGTCTCCAGGAAACACTATTTCAAACTGTCTGTTAATCATCCTTGATTTTCTTGATGGTTTTACTTTTTCTACTTTTTTTTTTTTTTTTTTGAGACAGAGTCTCGCTCTTGTCGCCCAGGCTGGAGTACAATGGCACGATCTCAGCTCACTGCCACCTCTACTTCCCAGGTTCAAGCATTTCTCCTGCCTCAGCCTCCCAAGTAGGTGGGATTACAGGCACCTGCCACCATGCCTGGCTAATGTTTGTATTTTCAGTAGAATGGGGTTTCACCATGTTGGTCAGGCTGGTCTCAAACTCCTGACCTCAGGTGATCCGCCCGCCTTGGCCTCCCAAAGTGCTGGGATTACAGGCATAAGCTACTGCATCCAGCCAATGGTTTTATTATACATGAATATATCCCCCAAACAATCTACTGTTTAGTTTTACCTGATTTTGAAATTTATACAGTTAGAATAATACTGTGTGCACATTCTCCATAATTTAACTTTCTCTTGACATTTTGGTTGTTGACAGTTTTTCTTTTTTTGAGACAGGAGTCTCGCTTTGTCGCCCAGGCTGGAGTGCAGTGGCGTGATCCTGGCTCACTGCAAACTCTGCCTCCCGGGTTCATGCCATTCTCCTGCCTCAGCCTCCCGAGTAGCTGGGATTACAGGCACCCGCCACAACGCCCGGCTAATTTTTTGTATTTTTAGTAGAGATGTGGTTTCACTATGTTGGCCAGGATGGTCTCAAACTCCTGACCTTGTGATCCACCCGCCCTGGCCTCCCAAAGGCTGGGATCACAGGCGTGAGACACCGCGCCCGGCCGTTGTTGACAGTTTTTCAAAATTAAAACAATTATAAACAATGCTGTCTGGGACATCTATGTATGCACATTTTGGCCAACATTCATGATAATTTTTAAAGAGTAGTTCCTGTGACTGAAGTTCTTCAACTAAAGAGAGTTCAACTAAAGAGAACAAGTAAAAGCTTCTGACATCTACTGCTAATTGCCCTCTAGAAAAGTTGTAACAGTTTCTGCTCACCCTGCAGTTTGTAAGAACGCCTGCTACCCTACACCTTACCAACACGGAGCTCTATTATTTTTAAAATTTACTAAAGTGGTCCCAAAATAACAGCTTGCTTTAATTTTGCACTGATTTGCCTACTTGGGAGGTTAAATGATTTTCCCTATTTGTTGTCTAGATCTGGCTTTATACTTCTGTAATAAGTGGAATTTTAATAAGCTGGGTTTTTTGTTTTTTGTTTTTACTCCGATCCTTGTTTCTCAGAGAATGTAAATATTTCTCAGAAGGGAAGGCAACACCTTTAGCAAGAAGCAATAATCAGTGGTTTGTTTTGTGGGAGTTCAGTTTCCTCAAATAAATGCTGCTTCAGCCTAAAGGGAACAGGTTACGATTCAATGCATAGTAACATGATTATAAATTTTAAGGGCACAAATCAGAGAAAACTTTAGAAAAATGGGTGAGAATAGACAGCCCTACTGAATTTGCACTATGATTTAGTTAGGCATAGTTAATAATTATAAAATTAACATCATCCATGTGTGTATGTGTAAAATCTGATTAATACTCAAAGTTAATGAGTATATGGGGAATTGCATAATCTCATATGCCACTGATGGGGCTGTTAAAAACAAATTTTTGTTTTCCAACAAAAAGTCCCTAAGCAGCAAAGGGACTAAGATGGATTTGCTCACCCCACCTCTCCCTAGGCTAGCATCCTGGTTCCCTGCTTCTACGTGTGGACTGGCCCTGAGTGAGTGAGGCTGAACCAGGCAGCATGGGTCAGGAAAACTGCTCAATGTAAGAGTACAAAACGCCTGTGGGATAGTGTGAAAAGCCTGGACTCCCCGGTATGGACTCCCCAGGCCCCTGGTTTGAATCAGAGTTCTACAGTCATCTCAGGACCTCAGCAAGTCGCTTTAAACTCTGTGAACCTCAGGTTCCTCATTTGTGAAATGGGATAACAGCACCTTCCATAACAAGATCTTTGTGAGAATGACTGAGCTGTGAAGCACCTGCCTTGGGCTTTCAATAAATGGTAACTATGATTAGGATTAACCCAATCACTCAACAAACATTTATTGAGGCCATTTAAGTGTTGGATACAGCTCTTGGGAATTAGAGTCTAGTGGGGAGGTGACACAGACAATACCCAACAGATGAGCCAACTCTATAGCATGTCGGGGTGGTGAGGACATGGATTAACATAGAGCAGGTGGGGGGAGTGGGGCAGGGGGAGCTCCCTGAGAAGGTGGCTTGGAACAAAGCCTTAAAGGAAGGGACTGCATGACTTGTGATGTCTGGGAGGGAAGGGTACAGAAATGCCTGGAGGTGGGATGTGTCTGGGGGTCCCAGCACCAGTCAGTGGCCCTGCAGCTGAGTGGAATGAGCGATGGGGTAGGTGAGAGCTGGTGAGGTCGGGCCAGAGTGGTGGGCAGGTCACACAGGATCCCACCGGCTGTCATGGGGTGGATCCAAGCCCACGTACTTGGCTATGTGTTGGTTTCTAGGGCTACAAGGATGTGATTCTGGCCCTTGAAGGAGCTCAGACTCCAATCTAGTGGGACCCTGGGCAGATTAGTAGAAACTGGCCCACTGGCTGTCTATGAAGGCACAGTCTCATCCCAACCCCTCCACCCCTATTATAAGTAAAATGTTTATTTAGAAACAGAATGCTTGTTTTTTGGTACTATAGCATTTAGACAAAAAGGTTTTTTTTAGCAAGGCAATTTTACTTTTTGCAGAAAGGGTGCTTCTTTTTTTTTTTTTTTTTTTTTTGAGACAGGGTCTCGCTCTGTTGCCCATGCTGGAGTGCAGTGGCGCAATCTCGGCTCACTGCAAGCTCCACCTCCCAGGTTCACGCCATTCTGCCTCAGCCTCCCAAGTAGCTGGGACTACAGGCGCCCGCCATCACGCCTGGCTAATTTTTTTGTATTTTTAGTAGAGACGGGGTTTCACCGTGTTAGCCAGGATGGTCTTGATCTCCTGACCTCGTGATCCGCCCTCCTCGGCCTCCCAAAGAGCTGGGATTACAGGCGTGAGCCACCGCGCCCGGCCAAAAGGGTGCTTCTTGGAGATGGAACAATGGCGAGAGCACACCTGAACAATGGAGGGAAGCAATTTTTATCCTTTACACAGCTTGGCCTTGCTACAGTGTCTTGTTTCCACTGGCTGGAGCCAGACTTTACAATTTAAATTAAAACCTGACTGGCTAACAACTTAAAACTTTTTAAAATAGGTAGAGGTGGCCGGGCACGGTGGCTCACGCCTGTCATCCCAGCACTTTGGGAGGCCGAGGAGGGCGGATCACGAGGTCAGGAGATCAAGACCATCCTGGCTAACACAGTGAAACCCTGTCTCTACTGAAAATACAGAAAAATTAGCCGGGCGTGGTGGCGGGCACCTGTGGTTCCAGTTACTAGGGAGGCTGAGGCAGAAGAATGGCGTGAACCTGGGAGGCGGAGCTTGCAGTGAACTGAGGTTGGGCCACTGCACTCAAGCCTTGGTGACAGAGCAAGACTCTATCTCAAAAAATAAAAAATAAAAAAAGTATAGACAATAGAGAATAAAGGAAAAGAGAAAGTTGCTTGTGAAAGGACTTAGAAAAGTAATAATATTTCCAAATAAGGAAGGGGCATAGGCTGCGAGCTGTATGTGCCTGTGAACATATTCAGCACAAATATCTTCATTCAAGTACAAGAACACAGAACGTACTTATTTCTCTATATCTAACAGCTACATAGGATAGGGCTTAACAAAGAGTTATTAGCACAAAGCAAGGAGGCTTGAAGGAAGTTAGTTTTTAAAAGAAATTATTATTTTTAACATTATTATTATTACCAGAAAGGAAACTGAAAAGGAAACTTTTTACTTTCTACAATTCCCTCCTTTTGATTTTACAGTGTTTTTTTTTTTTTTCTTTTTAAACTTTTAAAACATGTTTTGGCTTAGCTGTTTTGCTTGAGTTTTTAAAAGAAAGAGTTTTTTTGGTTGATGAAATGCCAGGGTAAAAGGGATAGCCAATTGAACTACAGCATAAGTACTGCTTTAATTATTTGGCAGAGTGTCTAGTAAAGGTTTTTTACAATACTAACATACGTTCACTTGGAGATGAATAAGGGTGGACTGATGGGTTAGCTCTTGGAAGTGCCTGACGTTACTGCATCCTATTAAGTCTTTAAGGTACGCCAAATTTTTCCTTCGTCATTGGAGACACGAGGTAAAACTGGTCTTGGAAGATGGAGGCTGGATGGCCCTTGAGGGCTGACCTGCAGGGTACTGCACTTTAGGAAATAGCAGAGAGAGTCTGGCACAGTTTACTATCCTAGGCTGTGGGATTTTGAAAAGGACCTACTATGCAGTCTACGTCTTGTCGATTAGAGGACTGTCCGAGTGGAAAGGGGACAAGCTGGGCCTCTGGCCTACCGTGCGCACACGCGTAACAGTCGCTTTTATTTAGAGTGCGGATGGAATATTTAATCCATTTTAGCCAGGCATTTATATTTTGATACCTTGTCTTCATTGCTATCGTTTGCCTTAGGTTTTTCACCTTTACTATAGAGACTTCAGTCTTGTCCTTGTGCTTGGGAGGAGTGATTGATGGAGTGGTTGAAGGAGATTGACAACTAGAAGGAGTAATTCTTTTGGTGAAATGGATATATGGATTTAAGGACTGACAAAGACCTATGGAAGCAGTCTATTTTAAACCTTTAGTGTTGTATAGGACATTAGACTAAGCAGAACATAGAGATTTTGTTTCAGAAGGACAAGAGTCTGATTTTTACTAATACAGCTACTATTCTCTGGATTACTAGTATTCTTAAAGGAACTTACTATGTCTTCCTAATTTGAGGAAGTCCAAGAGGGACAGAGATATTTTTCTGAAGTAGTAAGCTGTTTTTGGTTATGTAAATCTTTATAAGGCATAATTAAACAGGCATTAAAAGTAATAACTTGAGGTGAGTTAGATTTAGTTATGTTGGCCAGGCACGGTGGCTCACGCCTGTAATCCCAGCACTTTGGAAGGCCAAGGTGGGTGGATCATGAGGTCAGGAGATCAAGATCATCCTGGCTAACACGGTGAAACCCCGTCTCTACTAAAAATACAAAAAATTAGCCAGGCATGGTGGCGGGCGCCTGTAGTCCTAGCTACTTGGGAGGCTGAGGCAGGAGAATGGCGTGAACCCGGGAGGCAGAACTTGCAGTGAGCTGAGATTGCACCCCTGCACTCCAGCCTGGGTGACAGAGCGAGACACCATCTCAACAACAACGACAACAAAAATTAGTTATAAGATGGGAAGTAAAGGGAAGAAAAGAAAAAGAGAGATAACTTTGGAACAATGGCCCATGATTCTGAAGGTGATGATGCTTTTTTGACTTGGGTATGATGTGTCCATCCTTTTTTTGCTGTGCAAAGGCAGTCTTGGTGGTTAGCAGCACAAGGTAGGGTCCTTCCTAGGCTAGCTTGAGTTTTTTTTCTTTTTATTTTTTGATGAGGACGTGGTCCCCAGGGTGGTGCTGTTGTGCTGGAAATTCTAGGGGTAGGACCTGTGCTAAAAGACTTTTAGTTTTTTTGTTTTGTTTTTTTTTGAGATGGAGTTTTGTTCTGTGGCCCAGGCTGGAGTACAATAGTGTGATCTCGGCTCACTGCAACCTCCGCCTCCCGGGTTCAAGCTATTCTCCTGCCTCAGCCTCCCGAGTAGCTGGGATTACAGGCGCCCGCCACCATGCCCGGCTAATTTTTTGTATTTTTAGTAGAGACATGGTTTCACTTTGTTGGCCAGGATGGTCTCGATCTCCTGACCTCGTGATCCACCTGCCTCAGCCTCCCAAAGTGCTGGGATTACAGGCGTGAGCCACCACGCCCGGCCCGAATATCTTTTTTACTACTGGAGGTTTGTGTGATGTTTAATCTCCCCCCTAATGGGGACTTTTCACCTCTTTTTAACCCTTAAGACATCCTGACTAAGGAATACTTCACCGCCCCACCCCGACCCGCCCCCTGGCGGCTTTTCTTTCTTCAGTCCTAAGGAATGCTTTACCGCCCCTGCGGTTTCTCTTACCTAGGTATGTCCTAACCAAGGAATGCTTTACCGCCCCGCAGCTTTTCTTTCCTTAGTCCTGACCACCAAGGAAATATTTTACCAGCTCCTCCGGTATTTCCTTCCTTGTCTTATGCATGAGGTTACCTGGCCCGCGTGGTATGTGAGGACCCTGCACTCCAGGTTACTGGCTGCTTTCTTTCCGCGTTGCTGAGAGTCCAGGTTTATTCGTCACACAGGGTGGGTCTCGATTCCTTACCCCAGAGGCCACCGCAACGAGGCAGTGGGGCGCCTCCTCATGAGAGAGGACTAGAGACCGCCCCTGGAGGAGTGTATCCCCGTACGGGCCACCATTTTGTTATAAGTAAAATGTTTATTTAGAAACAGAATGCTTGTTCCTTACTACTATAAGGAAAAATTAGCATTTAGACAAAAAGTTTTTTTAGCAGGGCAATTTTACTTTCTGCAGAAAGGGTGCTCCTTACAGATGGAACAATGACGACAGCACACCTGAACAATGGAGGGAAGCAATTTTTATCCTTTACGCAGCTTGTCCCCGCTGCTGTGTTTTGTCTCCATTGGCTGGAGCCAGACCTTACAATCTAAAACCTGACTGGCTAATAATTTAAAACTTTTAAAAATAGGTATAGGCAATAGAGAACAAAGGAAAAGAGGAAGTTGCTTGCAAAAGGACTTAGAAAAGTAGTATTTCCAAATAAGGAAGGGGCATAGGCTGCAAGCTGGAATGTGCCTGTGAGCATATTCAGCACAAATATCTTGGTTAAAGTACAAGGACACAGAATGTACTTATTCCTTTGTATCTAACAGCTACATAGGATAGGGCTTAACAAAGAGTTATGAGCACAAAGCAAGGAGGCTTGAAGAAAGTCTTTAAAAGAAATTATTATTTTTAACATTTATTATTATCCTTTAACAAAAAAAAGGAAACTTTAAAAAAAAAACGTTGGCCGGGTGCAGTAGCTTATATATGTAATCCCAGCACTTTGGGAGGCCAAGGCGAGCGGATCACAAGGTCAGGAGATCAAGACCATCCTGGCTAACACGGTGAAACCCTGTCTCTACTAAAAATACAAAAGATTAGCCGGGCGTGGTGGCGGGCGCCTGTAGTCCCAGCTACTCAGGAGGCTGAGGCAGGAGAATGGCGTGAACCAGAGAGGCGGAGCTTGCAGTGAGCTGAGATCGCACCACTAAACTCCAGCCTACGTGACAAAGCGAGACTCTGTCTCAAAAAAAAAAAAAAAAAAGAAAAAGAAAGTAAAGTACAGTACACTTGGAAAGGGGCTAAGCAGGCAGCTTGAAAGATCCAAGTATCCACATGTTGAAATGTAATTGCCAATGTGATAGTATGAAGAGGTGGGGCCTCTGGGAACTGAATAAGTCATGAGGGTGGGGCTCTAGTGAATGGGATTCAGGCCTTTATAAGAGGCTGCACACAGCACTGGACCCTCTTGCCCTTCCATCCTTTTCACCATGTGAGGAAGAGACTTAGAGCCATCTATGAGGAGCAGACCACTAGACACCAGTCCTGTCCATGCCTTGAGATCCTGAACTTCCCAGTGTCTAGGACCATGAAAAATAAATTTCTATTGTTTATAAATTACCCAGCCTGTGATATTTTGTTACAGCAACATGGATGGACTAACACAAGTGTTAATTGAAGCATTATGGCCCCTCACCCAAGAATCCACCTATTATACCATGCGTCACAATTCTAGGCAAAAAAGTAAACACTCAATGTTTTTTGTTTATTTGTTTTTTGAGACAGAGTCTCGCTCTGTCGCCCAGGCTGGAGTGCAGTGGCGTGATCTTGGTTCACAGAAAGCCCCACCTCCCAGGTTCACTCCATCCTCCTGCCTCAGCCTCCTGCCTCAGCCTCCTGAGTAGCTGGGACTACAGGCGCCTGCCATCACGCCTGGCTAATTTTTTGTGTTTTATTTATTTATATTTTTTTAATAGAGACGAGGTTTCACCATGTTAGCCACCCAGGCTGGAGTGCAGTGGCGCCACCGCGCCCGGCTAATTTTTTGTATTTTTAGTAGAGAAGGGGTTTCACCTTGTTAGCCAGGATGGTCTCGATCTCCTGACCTCATGATCCACCCGCCTTGGCCTCCCAAAGTGCTGGGATTACAGGCATGAGCCACCGCGCCCGGCCTTAATGTTTTTTAATAAACAAATGAATGAACGAATGAATTAAAATGCCTACCTATACACAGAGAATACATTTAAAACATCACAAAGCAATCTTGAAAAAGAAGAACCAAATTGGAAGACTTATAATATCCAACTTCAAGACTTACTACAAAGATACAGTACTCAGGATAGTGTGGTCTTGGCATAAGGACAGACGAAGAGATCACTGGAGCAGAACAGAGAGTCCATAAGGAGATCCACACTTATGTGGACATTTGATTTCCAACCAAGATGCCAAAGTCACTGTGGGATACAACAGTCTTTTTTTTTCTTTTTTTTTTTAACAAGTGGTATTAGGTTGACTAAATATCCATATGGAAAAAAATGAGCCCCAATCTCTACCTTACACCATTCACTCACACACAAAAATAGTAACGAGCTGGAGCACAGCCCTGAAGGTAAAAGCTAAACTTTTCTAAATTTCTAGATGAAAACATGGGAGAATATCTTCATGACTTGCAGATGGACGAGACACAGACTTAACCGTAAAAGAACATGCTGCCAAATCAGACTTCATCAAAATTATAAAAACACAAAATCAAAAGACACCAATATTTATTATTACTCCCATATGTATGAAAATGTTCATCATAAGATGTAAAAAAGAAAACCACTCTCAAAGTATAGCAAGGGTTTCCCCAAATCCCAACCTAAGTAAAATATCACTTCCAAGTTCTATTGTCACATTCCAGTTTCTCTCACAAGGCGACAGCTCATCCCTCCCCTTGTCTACTGATGTCATAACCATGCCGCACATATCAAGAGTAGTTGGGGCTGGGGACAGTGGCTCATGCCTGTAATCCCAGCTACTCGGGAGGCTGAGGCAGGAGAATTGCTTGAACCTGGGAGGCGGAGGTCACAGTGAGCTGAGATCGTGCCACTGCACTCCAGCCTGGGCAACAGAGGGAGACTTCATCTCAAAAAAAAAAAAGAGTACTTGGATGAGACACGCACATGAGAACGGCCATGGGAGGTGGGCGGGTGGCCTCGAGGCCTGGTGGGTGAAGATTCCCTCCACAACACTTTTCCGGCCAGGCCCAGCTATGTCCATCCTTATAAGGTAAAAACCTCAGAAGGATGCCTTCTTCCTAATAAAGCCTCATGGCCGAACACCTGTTTGACCCATTTAAAAGGAAGAATGAAAGTTCTAGGCCGGGTGCGGTGGCTCATGCCTGTAATCTCAGCACTTTGGGAGGTCGAGGCAGGCAGATCACTTGAGGTCAAGAGTTCGAGACCAGCCTGGCCAACGTGGTGAAACTCATCTCTACTAAAAATACAAAAATTAGCCAGACGTGGTGGTGGGCGCCTGTAATCCCAGCTACTCAGGAGACAGGCATGACCATCATTTGAACTGGGAGGCGGAGGCTGCAGTGAGCTGAGATGGCACCAGCCTGCACTCTGGCCTGTGCAACACAGTAAGACTCCATCTCAAAAAATAAATAAATAAATAAAATTAAAATAAAGAAAGTTCAGCTGGGCATGGTGGCTCACGCCTGTAATCCCAGCACTTTGGGAGGCCGAGGCACGTGGATCACGAGGTCAGGAGATCGAGACCATCCTGGCTAACATGGTGAAACCCCGTCTCTACTAAAAATACAAAAAAATTAGCCGGGTGTGGTGGCGGGCGCCTGTAGTGCCAGCTACTTGGGAGGCTGAGGCAGGAGAATGACGTGAACCTGGGAGGCGGAGCTTGTAGTGAGCCAAGATCGCGCCACTGCACTCTAGCCTGGGTGACAGAGCAATACTCTGTCTCAAAAAAAAAAAAAAAAAGAAAGTTCAACCTAGGAACACGATGTTAACAGAAGAGATCTGTCATTATGCAAACAGTATGGCACTCTGAACAGACACTGAAAACATCTCCATCTCAAAGATCCCAGGCCTTGTGTCACAGTATGGGAAATTAGATGCTGGGGAAAACAGTGCTGAATGAACGAAGGCTTCCAGCCAGCCAGTGATCTCTTTGGACCCATTACTTTGCATTCCCAATCATATTAGATCACTTCCCATCCAGAGGCTCCCCAAGACTTTGAACAGTTCTTCAGTGGCCCTTACAGAAAGACACTCTCTCCAGACAAATGAGTATTTATATTCAGTCCGCTGGATCTCTAGGAAACACCAGAATTATCAATGAAGAATCTATGAAATGGCTCAAGGCCTATTGGGAGGCATAATTCTACGGCTTGAGAGCAAACCTCCTAGAACTGGTTCCTGTTTCTGCAATGAGGTGTTCCTTTAGAGCCAATGATAATTCACAAACAAAGCCTACAAGTTCATGCAGGGGACATCTTGAAGTTCTTAAAAAAGAAGAAACCTGAAGACGCCTGTGTCATGGGGATAACAATGATTGATCTTTACCCAAGAGACTCCTGAAATTTTGTCTTTGGACAGGCCTCTTTGACAGATGGTGTAGGGATATTCAGCTTTGCTAAGTATGGCAGTGATTTTTATAGCTTGTGCTATGAAGGCAAAGGGAGGAAGTGACAGAAAACATCTTCAACTGACTATTCAATTTTTGATAACTATTACATTCTGGAAAGAACTAATGTTTCACTACATTGATCCTGTAAGATTTTAACACATGAGATTGGACACACACGTGGACTGCGACACTGTCAGTGGCTTGCATGCCTAACGCAGCTCCAACCACTTGGAAGAAGCTGACCGGCGCCCTCCTGCCCTATCTGTTTACGCGAGTTGCAGAATGCTGCATTATAGAAAGCTACAGAGCACTGGTGGAGTGGATTGATAATGAATCTGCTGACACACCTGGAGTAACTCCAAGACACAGGCCTGAGGATAACGCAACTTTACTAAAACCTGTGGAAGCCTTTAAGGAATGGAAGGATGGATAATAAAATGCCTTGCTGTTCTCCAAAAATAAGGACCTTCAAATAGGAGTAATTGAAATAAGGACTTGTACATTATGCTTTCCAAAAAAACAAAAAACAAAAAAACAAAAAAAGAGCATTGGAATGAGACTCACGTGTCTAAAACCTCCAGAGAATATGGTACTGGGTGCCGGACTGGATGGGAGATTCTGTTGCTTCAAAATAGGGTTAGTAGAGCATTTGGGATCCTCTTGATTGAGAGGTTTCAGAATATCTGGTGCACTGACCTTCTGGAGAAGGAAAAACAGAAATTAATATTATAGTCTCCATCCCAGTTTGGTTTTGTTCAAATGTGGTGACTTCAGCAAGCATCTATGACTTGATGTTACTAACATGCAAACTTCTGAGTAGGAGGACACACCTGCATTTGGTAAATGCGTGCACGTGCGCACACACACACACACACGCACACACACACCACACACGCGCATGCGAGCACACAGGGCCCAGAGACAGACAACATCCAGCTTTGGGATAGTCATGAACAGTCATGGGTAGATTACTCGTGGATTAGTAAAAGTCTTAAGTCCAAATTTTAGCCTTAATAAATGGTCCTGGCATTTAATCACTTGATATATAATAATTAGCCTGATAAGCAGAGTTTTAGCTCTAAGATGCTTATAAAAAGGGAAAAATCAAAATATGTCTCTAAATTTTCTAAAAATACTTTGCTAACAGTTGATGCTTTTTTTATTTTTTCTTTCTTTTTTTGAGACGGAGTCTTGCTCTGTCACCCACACTGGAGGCTGCAGTGCAGTGGCACAATCTTGGCTCACTGCAGCCTCCATCTCTCGGGTTCAAGCAATTCTCCTGCCTCAACCTCCCAAGTGGCTGGGACCACAGGCATGTGCCACCACACCTGGCTAATTTTTGTATTTTTAGTAGAGATGGGGTTTCACCATGTTGGTCAGGCTGACCTCAAACTCCTGACCTCAAGTGATCCACATGCCTCAGCCTTCCAAAGTGCTGGGATTACAGGCGTGAGCCACCACACACAGCCAAGCTGACATTTCTATGATGTATACAGTTGTGTTTTCCAATATGGTAGTCACTAGCCACACATGACTACTTAAATTAATTGAAATCAAACAAACTTAACTTCTCAGTTGCGCTAGACCCATTTCAAATGCTCCATGGCCACATGCAGCCCTGGGCATTGTGTGGACAGCTCACATAAAGATCATTCCCATCCCTGCAGAAAAGTTCCATTGGAACACAATGGGCAAGGTGGGAAAACCTCTTAATGACTGAAAATATACAGTTTCCAAGTGGAGACTTTAGTTTTTGGTGGTGGGTTGAAAGCAGAACTCAGAAATACAACAGTTGCCCCACAGTCATAATTTTCAGGAAGAAAATACTAAGTGAGAATATGATAGAACAAATGAAAGAAAGGATTACCTCCAAATTATTTATGCTTTCCATCCCCAGAATGCCAACTTAATTCCTACAGACATTTATTTATTAAGCAACACTATATTCACAGCACTATGCTAAATTCTGGGGGCTGGAAGAGTAGAAGGGGAGGAAGAGAGAAGAAAGAGGAGAAGATGAAACGTCCATCCTCCAAGGGCTCACTAGCTAGTAGGAAGACAGAGACACCATTCAAATGGAAGCACCAGCCAGGTCAATGGGAAAGAGGCCAGGGACAGTTTCTCCAGCACGCAGGCCTCTGGGGGATGGTCTTCAGTGAGGCTGCAATCACCCGAGAGGATGCTGAGGCTGGCTGGGGTAAGCCTGAGAGGGAAGGCCTTCCACCTGGAGCAGCTGGTGACGGTTAAACAGAAAGCACGTCCTAGACCTACAGACACGTAGACACGTGGACACAGATCACAAACACATAGGGGATGTGTGATGTTGTCTGAGGGGACACTAAAGGTGTGACAGAAGTGTCAATCAAAGCTACAGCGGAGGAGCCAGAGGCTGGAAAAGCCAGAAGATCCAATGGGAGGGGTTCAAGAATGAAGGTGTGCCAGAGGAAAAAGTAGGAGAAAAAGCTTACCTGCAGTTAAAGAAAGGCACATTTTAAATAACTGCCCATTATATTGGCAAATGTTAAAAATTATAAAGTTGAGTTTTACTAGAAGAAAGTCCTGGAGATGGATGGTGGTGACAGGTGCACAACATTAGCAATGTTTTCAATGCCGCGAACTATACACTTAAAACGGCACAGATGGTAAGTCTTATGTGTATTTTACTATAATAAACATTTCGAGGAAAAAAAAAGGTACAAAGTTGAATGTTGGCAAGAGTGCTGGAAAACACGTGACTCTGCCTTGCCAGTGGTCAGGTAAATGGAGTCAACGTCAGTGGAGGGCAACTTGGCAGCATGAACTAAAAGCCTTAAAAAGTAGCTGTTAGGCTGGGCTTGGTGGCTCACACCTGTAATCCTAGCACTTTGGGAGGCTGAGGCAGGCAGATCACGAGGTCAGGAGATTGAGACCTGGCTAACACGGTGAAACCCTGTCTCTACTAAAAATATAAAAATTAGCACGTGCCTGTAGTCCTAGCTACACAGGAGGCTGAGGCAGGAGAATCACTTGAACCCGGGAGGCAGAGGTTGCAGTGAGTCGAGATCATGACACTGCACTCCAGCCTGGGCGACAGAGCAAGACTCTGTCTCAAAAAAAAAAAAAAAAAAAAAAAGAGTAGCTGTTAAAAAGAATAACTGGCCAGGCATGGTGGCTCACACTTGTAATCCCGGCACTTTGGGAAGCCGAGGCTGGCAGATCACCTGAGGTTAGAAGTTCAAGACCAGCATGGCCAAAATGGAGAAACCCTGTCTCTACTAAAAATACAAAAATTAGCTGGGTGTGGTGGCAGGCGCCTGTAGTCCTAGCTACTCAGGAGGCTGAGACAGGAGAATGGCTTGAACCTGGGAGGCGGAGGTTGCAGTGAGCCCAGACTGTTCGCTCGCTGTCTGGGTGACAGAGCGAGACTCCATCTTAAAAAAAAAAAAAAAAAAAAAAAAAACAGAAAAGAGAGAAAATCTTTTTCCTCCACCTCTGTCCTCAGTTCCCCTCCCCAGAGATAGCCCCTCCTGACGGTTTTTAGGCATCCTTCCTGTTTAACAGGTGCATGTTTTTATGGCCAATATAGGTCAATACTGTACATTCATAACATATACAATAAAATCCCAGTGGAATGCACAGAAGAGGAGAGGTAAGAATTCACTTCTTGAAGAATTCTGGCCCAGATGCTTAAGTCAGCATTTTTGAAGGGGTGTTTTCAGAACATGTGGTTCAAACTTAACAGAGAAGTGGTGTGGAAAAGATCCTGAGCTGTTTTCTCAGTTAACATCCCCGAGTCACCGCGTGATTTTAAGGTGGGAGGATCACTTGAGCCCAGGAATTCAAGACCAGTCTGGGCAACATGGTAAAACCCTATCTCTAGAAAAAATACAAAAATTAGCTGGGCAGAGTGGTGTACTCCTGTAGTCCCAGCTACTCGGGGGTGCTGAAGTGGGAGGATCACCTGAGCCCAGGAGGTAGAAGCTACAATGAGCTGTGTTTGCACCACTACACTCCAGCCTGGGTGACAAAGTAAGACCCTGTCTCAAAAAAACAAACAAACAAACAAACAAACAAAAAAAGAAAGTTATCTACTACTTCTGTGCCTCAGTGTAGCCACTTGCAAGGTGGGCACCAGCATCCTCTACTTCCAAAGCAGGGCCACCGTGTTCTATAATTAATATTGATGAAATATTAATAATCTGATGAAAATGAGAGGAATTTTGGTGAGCTCCCCAGCTAAGGCATGTGTAATTGCAGTCTGATGAATGTTCTATTTAAAGACGTACTCCTGGACCAGGCGCAGCGGCTCACACCTGTAATCCCAGCACTTTGGGAGGCTAAGGCAGGCATCCGATTGAGCTCAGGAGTTTGAGACTACCCTAGGCAACACAGCAAAACCCCATTTCTACTAAAAATCCAAAAATTAGCCAGGTGTGGTGGTGCATGCCTGTAATCCTATCCACTCAAGAGGCTGAGGCATGAGAATCACTTGAACTGGGGAGGGAGAGGTTGCAGTGAGCCAAGATTGTGCCATCGTACTCCAGCCTGGGCAACAGAATGAGACTCTGTCTCAAAAATAAATAAAAATAAATAAATAGAAGTGTACTCCTTATATTTCAACCCAATAGTTATTTAGCATTTATAGATCATACTATCATTGCTGAGTACTTTATAAACATTTGGCTAAATTGTCCCTTATAACAGCCATATCTGGCTGGGCGTGGTGGCTCACACCTGTAATCCTAGCACTTTGGGAGGCCTAGGTGGGAGGATTGCTTGAGCCCAGGAGTTTGAGACCAGCCTGGGCAACATCTCTACTAAAAATAAAAATTAAAAAAAATCAGCCAGGCATGGTGCCATATCCCTGTAGTCCCAGCTACTTGGGAGGCTGAGGTGGGAGGATCACTTAAGCCTTCGAGATCGAGACTACAGTGACCCACGATATCACCACTGCACTCCAGCCTGGGCAAGACAGCGAGACTTGGTCTCAAAATGAAACAAAGAAACCAACCCAGCCACAACCTCAATTAAGGTGGGGAGAGAGAAGGCCTGCAGAAAGTTGGAAGCGTTCCTGCCAAGAGCATGGCTGAGAAGTGGACACACGCATAACAATGTCTACTTGGATTGGCTCTCTCCCCACTGTCTCCCCACCGTCTCCCCTGCACCCCACCACTTCTATCCCTGAGCTCCCTTAGCCCTTCAGACAACCCTGGCCAGGCTCTGGGCCATGTGCACATGCAGCAGGGGAGGGGGCGTGCCGAGGACCCACGGGCCATCCTCATGCAGAACGCCACAAGCCCAGCCTGTGGTGCGTGGGATGAGCCACCACACAGCACATCACGGTGCAAATGGGAAATGCGTCTCACCTCTGGGGCGTGGACAGGGTGTGGTTGGTCTCTGGAGCAGGCTTCACCTAGCTCTTGGTCATCTCTTTGCCCCAGTGTCCCTGTCTTTAGTAGGGACAGGAACAGTACCAACTTCATAGGGCTGTCTTAAGGATTACAAAGGCTAAATACCTCTGAAGGGCATTACGCTGAGAACAATGCCAGGCATCTGGTTAACCCCAAGTCAGTGTTAGCCTCTGAGTGGTTTCCTGTGACTCAAGCAAGTAAGATAATTACTCATGCTTCCACACGCCCCTTCCTGAACCCTCTTTCTTCAGCGGTCCTCATTTGTCCTTCTTATGGGAACATAGAGTTTAGAATTCAGAGTCAAATCCCAGGTCTGCTCCTGGCTCCATCTCTCATTCACTATGTGACATTAGGCACGTTGGTCAACCTCTCACTAAAACTCAGGCTTTTTTTTTTTTTTTTTTTGAGACAAAGTTTCACTCTTGTCACCCAGGCTGGAGCGTATAACAGTACGATCCCGGCTTACTGCAATCTCTGCCTCCTAGGTTCAAGCAAAGATTCTCCTGCCTCGGCCTCCTGAGTAGTTGGGATTACAGGCACCCGCCATGAGCCTGGCTAATTTGTGTATTTTTAGTAGAGACGGGGTTTTACCATGTTGGCTAGGCTGCTCTCGAACGCCTGAACTCAGGTGATCCACCCACTTCAGCCTCCCAGAGTGCTGGGATTACAGGCATGAGCCATGGTGCCCGGCCAATTTTTAAAATTTTTAATTTATTATTATTTGAGACAGGGTTTCACTCTGTCACCCAGGCTGGAGTGCAGTGGTGCAACCATGGCTCACTGCAGCCTTGACCTCCTGGGCTCAAGCGATCCTCCCACCTCAGTCTCCCTAGTAGCTGGGATTATAGACATGTGACACCACACCCGGCTAATATTTGTATTTTTGTAGAGACAGGGTTTTCTCATGTTGCCCAGGCTGGTCTCCAACTCCTTGGCTCAAGCAATCTGCCCACCTCGGCTTCCCAAAGTGCTGGGATTACCGGCATGAGCCACCAGGCTCGGCCGATCTTTATCATGGGAGTAACAATGTCTACCACGGTATTTTTGTGAGAATTAAATGTGATGAAGTAGGTAAGAAGCAATGCTGCCACCACGTGTGGCACACAGGGCTTCATATGGTTGCTAACCCTCCCCTCCACCTGTTTCACTAGAAGGAGTGATCCCCGGAGGGAGTTCGGAGGGAGCTTCTGTAGACCCCGGGAAGCTGACAGGAGCTGACACTTGTGTTATAGAATTTCAAACACCTGCCAAATACATTTCAAACTGTCTAGACACCTCGCTCCTGAAGTGTGGTCTGAGAACTTCACAGCATAGACTTCGCCAGATCCCAGGAGTTCACCAAAAATGCATCTGCGGTTCCTCATCTCACGTCCACCCCGCAGCTACTGATTTGGAATCTGCATTTTAAGAGCCCCAGTGACCCCCTATACTCATAAGAGCTGGGAATCACTGCCTCAGAGTTCAGTCCTCTTTTGGCTATACAACCTTTGGCAGGTGACTTAATCTAAACCTCCATTTCTTTACATGTAAAATGAGGCTGCATGCAATACCTACCCTAGATGGTGGTTATGAAGATAAAATGAGATAGCCTAGTTAAGCTATTAGTACAGAGTCCAGCACATCATAGTCAATGCTGGCAATTTAGATAAAATATTTAGATGACTTAGATAGCAAATCAAGATACTACATTATCTCATTAGATGTTTACAAAACCTTGTGCTGTGCGCAGAACAGGTATTATCATCTTCATTTTACAGAGGGGCGCACTGGGCTGGAGCGGGAGGCAGGACGTGAACTCTCAAGAGGCTGTGTGCAAGTTCCAGCAGGAGAGGGGGGCTGACCTCACACCCTCGCCTAAAGGACAGTCTGTCTGGGGACAGCCTGAGTGGAGTCCACAGCAGCAGAGAAGGGACACCAGTTCTGTCCAGCCTACCAGGGCAGTCACATCAACACTGCAAGCAACAGCTGGTGGCACCTGCCCAGCCAAGGCACCTCAGCTGAACTAGAATGCGGGCTTTCCCATTCTAAGGTTGGCTCTCTCTCATACCCGAAGCGTTCACTCCAGGCTGGGTTAGTCCTGGTGGGAAGGTGGAATAATTATTTCCCTAGAAGCCTTTACTAAGGGAGCTCTCACTTGTGGTGTGGACAGCGGGGGAAGAGCGCCCCCACAGGCTTGCTCGCGCCTTTACGTTTTCAATAGTTTCCATCAGAGGTCAGGATAGATTTTAACCAAAGGCTGCTGGTCTTGCAGACTCCAGGGCTAACCCGGCAGGTGTGGGCCCTGCAGGAAGCCCTTGGGCTTTGGCGCAGGCTTGAAGCCAGCAGGGAGCTCTGTGGACACAGAGGAGCCTCAGGGGCTTGTGATTAGGTGGAAGCCTTTCCTTGTGCTGAACAGTTTTCCAGACTGACCTTCAATCCTGACCTGCCTTGGGCCAGCCCTGCCCAAATAGAGGCACTGACTGGTAATTATGTTTTTCTGATGGCTTACTGTTTTTCTATAAAACCAAAGAAAACATAAATCTACAGAGAAGGCAGGCTAGAAAGTTCTGGAAGACAACATGAAGGTGATCAGCGTGGAGGCCTTGTGGGGCTCAGGGTACCCTGGTGGTGACGTTGACCGCAGTGTCAGACTGGCTCCGTCTCTCTGTCTGTCCCACACACTGCCTGGGGCCCGTGGCGAGAAGATGCTTCTCAGAAGTCATATCATTCTGGGATTTGGAGAGCTCTAAAAGGCAAACACAAGGGTTGATGGGTGGGAACAAGCAGCTTTGCTGAGACTTGTGGGAGCCTCTTCTGGGGTTCACTGAACCCACAGACAGTGGGTCCCAAGGTCTTAAGAGGGCAAAGTGCACGGAGGAGCAAGGGCGGCACATTCCCCCACCAAGTGCAGAGGTGTTGGGAAGGTGAGCAGACAGTGTGCTGGGTCAGGGCAGGAGAGGGCTGGCTTCCTTCAAGGTCCCGCTGTGGCCACCCAGGCCATGGTCAGGGTGAGAGGTGAAGGGAAATCATCCACCCAAGCTCCTCTGCGTTCCAGGTCACACATATGTGTGTGCACTCATCCAAACACGAAGACGGCAGCCTACCAAACAAGCCGGCTTTCTAGGGGTTCCTTACAAAGATGTTACAACTTAACACCATTTCTTGTGACTTTTTGAAGCGAGGTAAAAATAAGATTTGGGGTGTCCTCATAACAATTATAATAAACAAACCCTGGAAAGATGACTGTAAACAAATTTGTTTCATTTTTACAGTGTAATAGTGGTCTAGAGTAAAGATGAAGAAAGTTTGAAGGAAGGAAGCCACATACAGAAGTGAGAGAACCACCTTGAAGATAGTTTCATCCTCTGAAGATGGTTTCATTTTCCCTTGAGAACCCCACTCCTCCAAACGGGGACCTTAAAACTGTCTCTAGAGCTGTGCTGTCCGGCAGAGAGACAATGCAAGTCACACATACAATTTTAAATTTTATAGTAGCCATATTTAAAAAGTTAAAAAAAAAAAAACAGGTAAAATTAACTCTATTTACTTATTTATTTTTGAAATAGAGTCTCACTCTGTTGCCCAGAATGGAGTGCAATGATGTGATCTTGGCTCACTGCAACCTCCGCCTCCTGGGTTCAAGTGATTCTCATGCCTCAGCCTCCCAAGTAGCTGGGATTACAGGTGTGTGTCACCACGCCCGGCTAATTTTTGTATTAGCCATGGTTTCACCATGTTGGCCAGGCTGGTCTCGAACTCCTGAGCTCAAGAGATCCACCCACCTTGGCCTCCCAAAGTGCTGGGATTACAGGCTTAAGCCACCATGCCTGGCCAAATTAATTTTAATTCTATATTTAGTTTAACACAATATATCCAAAATATTAAAAAATGTCATCAACATTAAAGTTATCCATGAAATATTTTACTTTTGTTGGATTCCAAGTCTCTGAAACCCAGTGTGTTCACTTTGGTAGTGCATCTTGCAGCCCTATTTCAGGGGCTCAAGAGCAACACGTGGTTAGAGGCCACTGCAATGGACACTGTGGCTCTTGACCCCCCGGCTGGCTTTGGATCCACCTCCTTGGGATGTTATTGCATGAATCCTCTATCCTCTCACTATGTATTCGTTCTCTCCTGCCTACACTGCCCAAGAATGAGTCTTGCAGTATCTCTTTCATCTAAAGAGGGAACGGCTGGGGTGTCCAGCTTTTCCACCAGGATGCCTCCTAGCCTCCTCTGATAGCAATGCCATCCCCATGTCCTCAAGGTGACCATCAAGAAACACTGGGGGATCTTTCTAAGGCCAGCAGCTCGTAAGGCACTAGTACGCACCAGGTCCTCAAAGTGGACAAAGTAAAGGACACGCTCAGATGGTCCATCTCAGTCTGGACTGTGAGGCTGTGAGGGGCTCTAATTTCTAAGCCCTTAGGAGGAACTGGTCCCCCAGCAATCTCTTAGTGCCCATCCCAAAGCCTGGGCCTATTTGGGCCATTGAAAGTTCACAGATGAGGGGAGAGGACAAGCCTTCTTGAGAAATTTGGGCTCTAAGAAATAGGCTTATAGGTCAGTATTATTAGGGGACAAAGGATAAGGAAGAGAAAGAAATGCAGATTGCTTCTGGGCAAGACCAGTTTTCTCATTTCCTCTTCCCCTTTCTAAGGGGGACTACAGTGCTGACATCTTCTAGAAACGTACTGATAATAGACAGAGCTGCAGCCACTCATTTCCTCCCGCTGGTTTGACTTCATTGGGCAGCATCAGCAGCTAGAGGTTGTAATTCTGGGTCACCTTTCAAAACCCCTCAGGGGCAAAGCCACCCTTCAGCACCTGGGCCAGTGAAGAGTCTGGGGCCCTCTACAGTCCCTCCCCGAGGACCTCAGGTGCCAATCTTCCTCCCCTCAGAATGAGGCTTCCCTCTGCACCCACTTCCGTGGGGAAACAGGCAGCCAATAAGATAATAGGAGCACGAGAAGAGGAGCTCAAAATCCAAAGAAATAGGAGTCAGCGCCTACAGGACGCTAAGTGTCCTGTGGCAGAGACGGGAGAAGGGCGTGTGTGTGGTCACGTGTCCTGTTCCTGCAGAAACAGGGGAAGCACTCGGGAAAGGTCAGAGGCCAAGCACCACTCCCAGCAGCCAGAAAGCTGGGGTTTTCTATCTCTGCCTCTGGGCAGGGGGTGGGGGTGGTGGGGGGGTATGGGGGGTGCTGGGTGCGTGCGTGTGTGTGTGTGTGTGATGCGGTTTCAGTCTGCTTTCCATATCTGAGAAGGGATGCTTGCTGTTTTGCTCTTGTGAATTCCCCCACACCTCGCCCAGGGACTAGCTCTAGTTGTCCACCTGGGTATTACACTGGTTAGCCTCAAGTGCTCAAGTGTGTGAGCAGGTACACAGGCCAGGCTCTGGGGTGGCCACCTGACAGCTGTGAGCATATCCAATGAACCTGTGTGCAGGGCTGGGAGCATCCAGGAAGGTGCATGTGTGCTGACGTGTGTGTCCCACCTCTCTGGATTTCGGTGGCTGGGGGATGACAGGGTTGGGGCTAACTCCAAGGCACTGATTCTATAGTGGCAGTGGTGGAAGACAATTCACAGAAGCCACATAGATTTGGAGAAGGGCTGTGCACCTAGAAAGACATACAGGGAAGGTGAACTAGCACCCACCCATACATGACAAATACAAGGGGGTGGGTGGGAAAATAGCACCCACAAGAGAACAAGAGAAGAGGCAGCCGGGACAGCTGGAAAACACGTTCCAGGCCAAGGGGCACAGAGCAGGGGTTACTGTCAGAGAGCCCAGCAGGATGGAAACAGTGATTTTTAAGCCACCAAACGCTCTTAGCAAACAGGCCCATGAAATTCAGCTGCTTCCTCCCTAAGAAAGGAACAGACCATTGCATGAGACGACTGTTTCTGCTCATCTGAAGAGCAGTGCTTTGATGTCCATTGTCATCGTGTGACAGCTGACACAGGGCTCATGAGGAATACGGACAACTAATTAAAGTCACATAAAGAGACTGTCTCAGAGCCAAGTGCAGCACTGAGACCATCCGCATGCAACTACAGAAAAGGGGATGATGAAGAGAAGCCGAGCAGAAACACAGTGAAAGAGAAATCCATGCCTAAGGACCCTTGAGCACACTAAGGACATTTTCTAAACACCTGACCAGCCCTGGGCATCTTAGGAGGCATGAAAAGGAGTCTGTCCTCTGGGACTTGAATTTTAAGATAAACAGAGAAAAAAGTATCTGAGCAGAAAGAACATTGAAAGACACAAGATTGCAAGTGGAGGTGGTTCTAGGTTACATGCATCTGCAAATCACAGGATTACTGCTAACTGAAGAAAATACATTTACCAAGGAGGAGAGGAGAAAGGCAAGTAATTCCATGCAGACAATAGATAGATAATTGGGCCCTACTGGCCTGAAAGGTTCTGGTTTTAGATTCCCTGAAATTGCATCTTTTTTTTTTTTTCTTTTTCTTTTTTGAGACGGAGTCTTGCTCTGTTGCTCAGGCTGGAGTCCAGTGGCGTGATCTTGGCTCACTGCAACCTCCGCCTCCTGGGTTCAAGTGATTCTCCTGCCTCAGCTTCCCCAGTAGCTGGGATTACAGGCACCCACCACCATGCCTGGCTAATTTTTGTATTTTTAGTGGAGACAGGGTTTCACCATGTTGGCCAGATGGTCTCGAACTCCTGACCTCAAGTGATCCACCCACCTTGGCCTCCCAAAGTGCTTGGATTACAGGTCTGAGCCACCATTTCTCTTCCTATGAGGAACCAGAGGCCTGCTTTGTTGGGAAAGAGATGAAGGGCCAGGTGCTGTGGCTTTCCCCAGGGTCCAGAGACAAAGTGAGTGGCCTGAGGGACAGTGTCAACCGAGGTCACCGGCCAGGCCCTGGCCAGTGGGCTCGGCTGGCCTGGAAGGTAGTGGGAAAACACATCATGAAGCATGCACTTACTTTTCACGTGGGTAGCAAGAGACAGAAACAAATTTTCCACGGACTTATTAAATCCTCTAAACTGACCAAATTCCTGTAACTAAAACAGAGACAGAAGGAGAGAATGAGAATTATGCTTGATGACTTGTGTTTGCCTCAGCAGTGTCCAGGCTGCCAACCCCAAAACACTGGCATGTGGGTGTGTGCGAGTGAGTGTGGGCGTGGTGCTGGGGGTGCAGGTGGGCATGGGTGTGTGCATGCAGGCCTGGAGGCGGACAGCAGTCTTCCTGAGGGGTAGGCATCTTCTTCATTCAGCGTCTCTCCCTACTTTTGCTATTCACATTGAAGGAGCATTATCAGCGGGTTGTTGACAAGATGACAAGTACCCCTGGGAAATGATGACTGGCATTTCATTGGCTCAAAGACTGTACTCAAGTAAATTACTGCTTGTTTAACCTCTTTTCTCCAATGGCCCCACCCCAACTCCATGCAGAAGTGGCAGGATGTGGGTGGCACAGGGGATGAGGATGGTAAAAGCCACAAGGTGACCAGGCAAGAGCTGAGGGGCTCCACTTCCCAAAGCAGAAGAAAAAAAAGATAAAACAACAGAAAGGAGTTCACTTCCTTATCCAAGTCTCATTCATTCATCCATCCATCCACCCATCTAGCCACCAAACATCCATCCATCTTACATTACCACCCATCCAATCATCCATCTGTCCAATAAATACATCATGAGCACGTAGGTACTGGAACGACTCTGGAGAATTTGAAATTTCCAGGAGAAAGTAGAGCAGGATTTTGAAGGTCACCCCAGTCTCAGTTTGAAACTGAAAAAGAGGCCAGGCGCGGTGGCTCACGCCTGTAATCCCAGCACTTTGGGAGCCCGAGGCGGGCGGATCACGAGGTCAGGAGATCGAGACCATCCTGGCTAACACGTGAAACCCCGTCTCTACTAAAAATACAAAAAAAAATTAGCTGGGCAAGGTGGCGGGCACCTGTAATCCCAGCTACTTGGGAGGCTGAGGCAGGAGAATGGTGTGAACCCGGGAGGCGGAGCTTGCAATGAGTCGAGATCACGCCACTGGTCTCCAGCCTGGGCAATAGAGCGAGACTCTGTCTCAAAAAAAAAAAAAAAAAGAAAGAAAGAAAAGAAAAAGAATGTATGTGATTCTTCTCTCTTATCAGCATTATATATTTTTGGGTTTGGATCATAATCTCAAAGACACAGTCTCAAATGCCATAATCCTAAACGATGAAAGATCAAAATCCCTAAAGTCTAAATCCCTAAAGATTAAAATCCCTGAAGTCCAAATCCCTAACATCTAAAATCCCCAAAATCACAATTATGGGATAGTTGCATCATGTTAGGGGGACCTATTACTTTGTTACTGCCTTTATTAAATTAAGTATGACTTAAGGAGAGCCTATGGGTACAGGTTGACAAGGGGTGGACTCGTGGACTTAATTAATGACACCTTAATTGTAGGCATCCACTTGATTGGCTTCAGGAATACCTAGAAGCCTGGTAAGGCATTATTCTGGGTGTGTCTGTGAGGGTGTTTCCAGAGGAGATTAGTGTGTGAGTCTGAGTGGATTCGGTTAGAAAGATCTGCCCTCAATATTGGCAGGCACCACCCACTCAACCAGGGGCCCAAGGAGAACAAATACAGCAAATGAATTGGTCTCTGAGAGCTGGAACAGACTTTTCTTCTGCTGCCTTGGACATCAGAACCCAGGCTGATTGGCCATTGGACTCCAGGACTTAGACCAGAGGCTCCCTGGGTCCTGAGGCTTTCAGCTTTGAACTGAGAGTTACATTGTCAGAGGTATGTGAACCACAGCAACTCCATCTTGAATAGGAGCTGGGTAAAATGAGGCCGAGACCTACTGGGCTGCATTCCCAGATGGTTAAGGCATTCTAAGTCACAGGATGAGATGGGAGGTCAGCCCAATATACAGGTCATAAAGACCTTGCTGATAAAACAGGTTGCAGTAAAGAAGACAGCTAAAATCCACCAAAACCAAGATGGCAACAAGAGTGACCTCTGGTCGTCCTCACTGCTACACTCCCACCAGTGCCATGACAGTTTACAAATGCCATGGCAACATCAGGAAGTTACCCTACATGCTCTAAAAAGGGGAGGCATGAATAATCCACCCCTTGTTGAGCATATCATTGAGAAATAGCCATAAAAATGGGCAACCAGCAGCCCTCAGGGCTGTTCTGTCTATGGAGTAGCCGTTCTTTATTCCTTTACTTTCCTAATAAACTTGCTTTCACTTTACTCTGTGGACTCGCCCTGCATTCTTTCTTCCGCGAGATTCAAGAACCGTTTCTTGGGGTCTGTTTCCTGTAACAACACCATCAGCTTTCCTGGCGCCGACACCTTGGGACTTGGACTGAGTCACGCTACTGGTATCCCAGGGTCTCCAGTTTGCAGATGGCTTGTGGAGAGACTTCTCAGCTGCCGTGATCACGTGAGCCAATTCCCCTAGTAAGACTCCTCTCATGTATCTATATACATATCCTATTGGCTGTGTCTATCTGGAGAACCCTAATACAGATTTGGTATTGAGGAAGCCACCTATCATTCCTTCTTATTGTATTCCTCACAACACAACAGAAGAGATCTGTGAAACGGTTCCTTCACCAAAAAGCCTGTGATATGAGTATAAGGTTATTTAATAATGAATGGTAAAAGTTTAAAAGCTAATTAGTATTGGTGTTGCAAAAGTAGGAAATGGCTTAATTGCAACGACTGGAGCAAGAACCAGCCTTTCAAATGGACAGCATGTGCTTACAAAATGCGTAGACCTGGCTGGGCGAGGTGGCTCACGCCTGTAACCCCAGCGCTTTGGGAGCCCGAGGTGGGCAGATCACGAGATCAGGAGGTCAAAAGCAGCCTGGCCAATAGTGAAACCCCGTCTCTACTGAAGATACAAAACAAATTAGCTGGGCCTGGTGGCACATGCCTGTAATCCCAGCTACTCAGGAGGTTGAGGCAGGAGAATCGCTTGAACCCGGGAGGTGGAGGGTGTGATGGGCCAAGATTGCGCCATTGCACTCCAGCCTGGACAAGAGTGAAACTCCATCTCAAAAAAAGAAAAAAGCAAAAAAAAAAAAAGCTTAGACCACAACCACTCTCCAAATACAAGTGCAGCAAGTGTTTCAAAGATCTTAGAAGTAAAAACACAGGCAAAAAAAATACAAGAAATCTCCGCTGCCAAATTATTTAGTTTAGTTGTGTATGAATTCTGCCCCTTCACACACAGCACAGTTTGCTATGCTGTGTAGTTCACGTTCTCATCATGTCCCATGCTGGAGGTAAAAATTACAGACACTTTTAGAGTTTTAATTTGTGTTATGCATTTTTTTTTTTTTGAAAACTGACTCCATGCTTCAAAGTACGTCATCACACCATGACTCTGACATGTACATAAAGATGTTGATATTTCCTAAGGGAAGAGATCTCCTTTTTGTACATCTGTATTTGCAAAAGATAAAATTTCTTGAGATCTCAGCTGTTTGGGTGACTGTATATGCAATGGTGACCCATGGCGGTTTTTGATCCATCTCATCAAATGACTGTTTGAAAAATACTGCTGTTCATGACAATATTTCAGTTACAAAGCTGGATGCACACAATACCAGCCATAGTAATGTGTATTTCTACACTTCCCTTTCTGATGTATTTCTTTATGAATATGGTTCATCTGTTCATAATTGTTATACCCATGTGACTGTCATTAGTATATCTGAGTGTTTATGCTTGCAAAAATATGCATGCTGTTTTTGCCTATTTATTGTGTAAAGTGGCCAGTTAAGTGTTCTGTCATGGTTTTTGTTTTTAGTTTGTTTGTTTAGAGACAGTCGCGCTCTGTTGCCCAGGCTGGAACGCATTGGCGCAATCATGGCTCACTGTAGCCTTGGCCTCCTGGGCTCAAGGGATCCTCTTCCCTCAGCCTCCTGAGTAGCTGAGCCTACAGGCATGTGCTACCACATCCAGCTAATTTTTTTATTTTTTGTAGATAGGGTCTTGCTATGTTGCCCAGGCTGTTGTCATGTTTTTACATGTTTCTCAAATCCCCTTTAAATTTTTTAAATAAATTTCTTCAAAATCATTTTTAGATTTTCTAGAATTATATTTTTGGGATTTTGATCTTTCAGGATTCCAACATTCAGGATGATAGCACTCAGGACTATGTCTTCTGGGATTATGATCAGCTCCCATATTCTCCCATATATACCTGCCCCCTTTAATTTATAGAATAATGAAGATAACCAAGACAATATATTTCCATGGCACTTTACGGTTTTCCAAGTACCAACACAGACATTATTTTGTTAATTTCTCACAACAGCCATACAAATATAGACGATATATACAAATATAGACACTCCCTGACTTACGATGGTTTGACTTACAATTTTCTGACTTGATGATGGTGTGAAAGCAATATATATTCAGTAGAAACCGTACTTTGCATTTTGATCTTTTCTATTTTGTATTATTAATAACATTTTTATTATTATAAAATAGGCTCTGCATTAAATGATTCTGCCCAACTGTAGGCTAACGCAAGTGTTCGGAGCACTTTTAAGGCAGGCTAGGCTATGCTATGATGTTTGGTAGGTTAGGTGTGTATTAAATACAATTTATTTTTTTTGAGATGGAGTCTTGCTCTGTTGCCCAGGCTGGAGGGCAGTGGCACTTGGCTCACTGCAACCTCCACCTCCAAGGCTCAAGCAATTCTCCTGCCTCAGCCTCCAGAGTAGCTGGGACTACAGGTGCCTGCCACCATGACCAGCTAATTTTTGTATTTTTAGTAGAGACAGGGTTTCACCATGTTGGCCAGGCTGGTCTCGAACTCCTATCCTCAAGTGACCCACCTCGGCCTCCCAAAGTGCTGGCGTGAGCCACCGCGCCTAGCTAAATATATTTTTGACTTACAGTATTTTCAATTTACTTTGGGCGTATTGGGACATAACCTCATCATAAGTCAAGCAGCACCTGTATAATTATTTCCACCTCTCAGGTGGGAAACCCAGGTAACTGCCCCAAGATCACACAGCTAATTTCTTTGGACAGAAATGGTGCTGGTCCACTGTACATCAGAGCCTGCAAACACTCAAAAGAGACACTCCCACTCACACACACGTTAACCAATCTTATTTCCCCTTAGACCCCAGAGACTCTACACACACGCCCAGCACAGAGCAGAGTTGGGGAAGGGGGCCGATGCCATGCCAAGAGTAAAGAGACCTCGGGTGCAGGCAGAAAGGGTCGCTGATGACACAGAGGGTCCCGCGACCAGAATGAGGAGAGAAGCTCTGCCCAGCCTGAGGGCCCTCGCTCCCCACCCCGCTTTGTGACCCGCTCCAGGCACAGTCAGATCCCTTTGCTGGGAGGTTCCGTGCCCGGCCTCAGCCTCGAAAGCTCCCCTGCTTCCTCTCCTTCTATCCCCTGACCCCTACTAGAGAAGTGCCCAGAATGGATACGTTACCCTGCCAGGACTGCGGCTGCACTGGCTCTCGCTGACAGGAGGTGGAGTAGGAGGAACCACAGAAATTTTGCTGCCAAGGAAAACACAGGCATAAGAAATGGGTTGTGAACCATGCAAGCCGTTAGTTTTACAAATACACAAAATGTGCCATTATTCTATAATTCTAGTTCTCCGCCTTTTTTTTAAACTGCCTCACTTTTTGGAAAAATAGCCAGCAGCCCTGCTTGGACCTGCTGCTCTACGAGGGGCATGATTTCCTGGTATCTATATGAGGGCGATGCTGCCTAAAGTCTGGGTACTCCGCCCCACTCAGTCATGTGTTCTGAAACAGCCTGGGTGCTCCGGCCTGGACCTGCCACCTGGCTGCGGGGAAACCCCTGGTTCCCATCTGCGCTCCCGTGTTCTCTTAGCACAAACCACACCAGCAGAAGCGCCAAAAATGTTGTGGATGTGAGAATCAACCACGAAGCAAACTGGAAGCTTGTGCTAAAAGAAATGGGAAAGAACAGGGGAGGAAAAAAATGAAAAAGTCTCGATATTGGAAAATTTCACCATGGGCCAAACAAAATAGCAGCTGGTGGGGAGCTTTCAGAAACACTTTAATAAATTGAGTGTAATCAGGTGTGTGAATTATGGCCAGCTTCATGACTGCTCAGTTTTTAGAATTTTGTGCAAAGAAGTTCACATCTCTCAGGCCATTATTCAATTCTATCAATGTTTATTTCACCAGTATCTCTAACGCGCCAGGCGCTGGGTAGGGTGTTAGAGATAGGCATGATTAATCAAAGCACATGCTTGCTTTAGAATTTCACTTAAGCGCAATTAAACATAATATTTAGTTTCCTTATAACACTTCAGGAGAATTTAAGAAGTAGAGCTGAATGTCTAGTGAGAAAATACTATGCTAACTAGAAGGTTTCTCATGAGAATCTGGAAACATCTCTGCTTTAATCTTTTTCAGGAACTTTATCTTTAAAAGAAAAAAAAAAAAAAGAGTCACATTCCAAAGCAGTGACATGTGAAAGTCAAGAGACCTATAAGTTCTTGCAGAGTGTCCTCTGCGCTCCTGCCCCGGAGGGCCAGGGACGGTCTGTCCTTTGTAACACTCACCTCAGCTTCTGATAAGATTGCAAGAGCTGCCCTCCAACTGTCTCATGTTTGCCTGCGAGAGATATCCATAGAGGGCGTTTATTATTAAGAATAGCACTTAGCTAATGTAAATACAGGAAATAGTAGAT